>NC_000007.14:144306864-144458379 GCF_000001405.40 Homo sapiens | reverse complement strand
CCACAGCTTTACATTAGGACTACTTTGAGTTTTTTACTTCAAGAAAGTGAAAACACAACATATTGATTTTATTTTTGAAAATTTTCAAGAGCAACCATAAGTATAAATGCCATTTTATAAGAAACAAATTCACTAATAACCCTTCCCAGAATTCATATTTTACAGTATAAATTGGCAATTTTTAAAATATAATCTTTTGCCTCATGTGTGTACATAAAAGACCTTTTTTTAAAAAATATATTTGTCAAAAATTAAAATTGTAAAGACCTATAATAGTGAACTGATGTTACAGACAGTATAGTTTTCTTTTCCTGGTAATGAAATCTGAGTCATATTTTCTTAATGTGTTGCCATTTCTCCACATAGGCTAAGAATCCTCAGAGAGTAAATGGTGAGTGTAGACAGTGGTCCCATTATGTTTTAAATAGTTAGTGATGTCTAATATGTCTAACTTAACTCTCCGAACTTAACCTAATGTTCCAGAATGGTAGGGAGCCTTAAGATTCATCATAATGGGTTCATTAAGCATTTGTCTATATGAGATGTAAAGTATTCATTAAGTCTTAGAGTGATTTTTAGGCTCTCACTAATGCATCTCCTTAAGTCTCCATCAGGCTGCCAAAAGACAGCTCTGTACTTCAGGAGAACAGACCAGCAACAGTTCTCTTCTTTAGAGCTCTTCAAAGCATCGCCTTAACCTCCCTTACTAACTTGTTAGTGTCTGACAACTTTTATTATCATCATAGCCTGTGATTTTAGCCTCTCTGAGCTTCATTTTCCTCATCTCTAAATGGAAGATAAAACCTGGCTATGCCTTGAGTGGCTGGTGTACTGTAAGGACTCAGATCACGTCTTGAATGAATAAGGATTATGCCCATCTCAAATAGCACCTCCATTTTGCCCTCAGGATTTATTGATTTTAGAAATGTTTCCATTGCCTTTTTAAATAATGTATTTATTTTTACAAAAGAACCAGCGTCGATCTACAGATTCTTGGGAAGCCAGGCCAGCGGGCAGGCCTCTAGGGATGCCAGTAGCCCCCCACTGTCAAAGGCTTCACCTCCCTCTTGAATACACAACCCATCTTGGCTGCCAGGAAGGCACCTCTGCCCTCCTTGGCCCACCTCATGCTTCTCTCCTGTCTGCTGGGTTTGATTGTATATCTTTCCCTTTTACTAAAATGTGAGTCCTCATTTTAGTGAGGGCAGAGATACTCATCCTTAAACCCTAGTGCCTGGCACAGAATGAGGCTTTAATATCTATTAAATAAATGCATACATACATGCAGGCCAAGGAATCACCTGAAATGATGTTAAGTATTTCACAAAAGCTAGCCTGGAAAAGTTACGAGTGTACCTCATTCTACTTCTCAGCTGGCTATAAACTAATCACTTGAATTCAGGCCTTTGCTAATTGTTCAGCTCATGACATCTCTCTTTTTGTTAATTTTAAAAGAAAAACCTGATCTGTTTTATCAGCAGGATAACAGGAGAAAGCAAAGAAGATGGAAATTACTTGAATATGTATCATATGTAAGATTGGCCACATAATCCATACAACTTCCCTGTGAAGTAGATACTTTCTACATATTTACTGTTGATGACACAAGGCCAAAGAGTTTAAATAACTGAGTTTGTAAAGCTGGTGAATGGTAGAGCCAGGGTTTGAACCTAGATCTAACTTATTAACTTCATCATGATGGAGTCATGCTCTTTGATAGAGAGATGCCTTTTCTATAAAAGCACCTGATCAGAAAAGTCATGCAGGTACACAGAGAATGAATGCCTCCCACTGTTGCTTTTCAGTGCCAAAAGCATCCAAGGCCTTGCAGAGTACTCCTTCATGCTTCCAGCTCCAACCAAGGAGCCACAGTTCACTAATGTAGCTTGTGGAGGAAAGATGGGCAAGAAACCAGGGACAAATGGCCCCACTAACTGAAAAGAGTTGAATAATTGGTTTCCACCGATTTGCCAGCTCTTGCTTTGTAGTCCCCTGTTTTTCCAGCTTTAGAGAAAAGCTGGGAGGACATCACTGAAAACAATAGAACACGGAGTGCTAATTCTCGTCCTTACCTTTGGGAAATAAAACAGCCTGAGATAATGGATGAAAATTGTAAAATCTATGTTAATGTGTTTATCACACAAAATATCGTTGCTTATAAGCTTGCACATAGATCTGTAACTTTTATTTTTGCCTTTTGTTAAAAACGGGTCTTGATCTGATGACTGGTTGTCTTTGAGCAACTACGGTTGGCTGTAGTCTACTCTGCAAACAATGGGGGGAAAAATCCAAGTCAGATTTTCTATAATTCAGCCAGCTAAAGTGTTGGACAAATCCTCTAGGGTAGAAACGAAGAGGTAATTTGTTTTTCTACTATCTGTACACAGCTGTCTCTTTACTAGTTTCATGTACTTATGTCATGATTGGCCTTCAGATATTTGGGGTAGAGGAAGTTCATCATAATTCCAAATATTTTCCTTAAAATTTTTTTATTTTTCTAAGGTTTTGTCCAAAAATATGATTCTGTGACTTGAAGAAAATATATTCCAAAATAATTGTAATGACATAGTAAATTAAAATTCATGACTTTGTCTCTCAACTTATTCATCTTAGTTTTCTATCATTTTTATTGTACTTTCCATAAAGTTAGAGATAATCAAAACCAATTGTTATCTTTAATTAATTGTAACTATATAACTGGTCTTGTTGGAACTTTAAATATTATAAAATAAAATAAAAACATAATTTACAAGTATGGCTAACAGTGGCCTTGCTTAACTCAAAGAAATATTTCCTTCCAAAAAAAAATTTCATCTTCTTATGCCCAAATAAACCACTTTGATTATTTTCCCATTTGAAAATTAATTAGGCTACAACAGTGTCTTCCAAACCCAGTATGTATAATCCAGGTATTTACCCCTGAAATTCTGAAATCCATAGTCTGGCTTCAAAAATCAGAAAGGAATTTATATGCAGCTATAAACTTGAAGCACAATTTTGTACTCCTGTTCTTTGGGCCTAAGTAAAAACTAGGATTTTAATCCATTTTCTCGAATCATATAATGTGTGTGTCAAATCCAAGTCGGTTGTGCATGCATGGGTCTTCACGAGGGAGTTTCCACTTTAAAGTTGGCAGGCCTGCTGAAGCACTCTAAATTGCCTTCGCAATGAAGTGGTGTGAAGTGCTCCCTGATTGCCTCCCTCTTGGCTATTGGGAAAACCTTGAAACCGTAGGCCTGGGATAGGTCTCAGTAAGCTACTTGGTAAGCACCCAGGTTCCAGGCAAGACCACTATTCAGGAGAGGTAGAGATTTCAATTGACTTTGCTGTGAATCCCTCAAAGATCACCACCCTGATCTACCAACTATGTAACAGTGTCTAGATCGATACATATTTTTGTGTATATCACCAGTGTTCAGAAACATCATCTCACAGAAGTCCCAAGTCCCAAATGACTCAAGAGTTAAGAGCTTCCTATATTGAAGTTCGTATCAGGGCAATATTCACATGAGATTCACTCTGTATTACTGTGTAGTTTTACTTTTGTGTTTGCACTAGTAAAAACATAAAGAACTATGAAAAATAATTTGAGTTTTAATAAATAAGCTGTGTGAACTGGTAATACTGACAATAGATTATCTTGCAGTACTGTTCCTGAATTTTTAAATTGCCTTTTCAAGATTTCCTCAGAAAGATAGGAGGCTCCCTCTAGTGGGAAGTGAGCATTGTAATTGATTGATTTCCCCCAAAGCAGTGTGTATAACTTCATAGGTGTTGTTTGAAGGAAAAGGGGCCTCTTCTGACTCTGATAGTTTGGGCTCCATAACATTTGTTCATTTTTCTCTCTGAATTTTGGTAAAGAAAATAATATTGGTTACCAAGGGATGCTTATAGGACAGCTGTGAGTTTAGAGTCATGTTGATGAAGTGAATTGCTCCTGTATCAGCAAAGAGAGGTTGACGTTACCAATCTGTGCTTAGGCATTAACTTGTTAGAAAATAAAAAATATATTTATAGCTATATATTTATGAAATGTATAAATATATGAATTCTAATCTTAATTCATAAGCCTTTTACTTTGATAAGTAGTTTAAAGGATTATCTTATCATCTCTTGCCTTCACTTTATGGCTGAGCTTAAGTGACTTGCTCAAGATTACACATTTGAAAGTCGGCTTTGACCTTTGAGTTTCTATTAATTTTACAGAATGTAAGCTGTATTCACTTTGGCTTTTCTTACTTTATGAGAAAACAGTAACCAAAATCACATGCATTTTTTTAGGTAATTTTCTATCTGTCTCATATCATTTCTACTTGAAGCTAAAACTACATTCTGTAGAGTGTAATAACATATTAAATTTTAATTCTGAATTATCAAGAGAAACTAAAATTGTACCCAGGGAAGGAAGTAAGTAGCACATTACAAATACAGGTTTTGGTTTTATAATTAGTAAAGAAAAAGAAAAGATTCTAATAAAATTTAATATTGAGAATGATATATAACCCAAAATGGTCAATAACCAATTCCAGGAAGAATGTTTACAGCAAGTTATAGAACTTACCCATTTTAAAGCCATACATCATATATTTCACCTATCCCACATTTATATATATTTTTATCAAAGTGTGTACTTGCTTTTTGGTAAGTGACAAAGTTAATCTACACTGGAGGAAGAAAAAAAATAGTTACTAATTTTTTTCCCTTATTTTCTTACAGCAAATGATGTGCTTGCTTTTGGAACATTGGTCAGTACTTCCAATACCTACGACGGGTCTGGTGTTGTGACTGTGGAAACTGACCACCCACTCCTCTGGACCATGGCCATCAAAAGCTAACCTGTTGACTGGCATCCATAAGTGTGCCTCTGCCTTATCTCATTTCTCAACAGTTCATTGCTCAACAAGAACGATTCACCTGGGTTTGCAAGAATCTAAACCTCTCTAGGGGAAGCCCACTGGGTTTAAAGATGTTAGTGTTTAGATAATACAGGTAACATTATAAATGACAGATCTCAATTTTATAGTAGTGGGAAAGATACATGCTAAGAAAGCAAATAAGCTCTATTATATTCGGTTGGAACCTAATGGGAATCATTCCACTATACAATTCAGTACTGATTATTCTTCTTACATTATTAATCATTCCATTTATCCTAGAAAATTGTTTTTAATTTGAATCAGAGAAAACTGTTGAGGTTCCTCTTGGAGTCTAGAACATCCTTAAATGTCTAACAACAAGGGCTACCTCTGAGTACCTTTTAGTATTAGTTTTCTGTATATGATATATATTATCTTATACTGAAAAAAAATTCCTTTCAGATTGGGGTGTTAGAAGTGCACCAGGTCACTCTGACCTTATTACTGTCTTTGGTATTGTCTTAAATAAATCAAGAATCATTGACCTAATTGTTAAATTTAAAAATAGGTAGTTAGCAATAGGTGGAAAGAGAAATGATGTGAAAGATAAATGATGATTCGTGGAGCCCTACTCACACATTAACCCCCAAATTCAAAAGTAAGAATGCAAAAGTCTAGAGGGGGTAACAGTCTGCATCATCATCACAACCTAAATGGAGAAAGCTGTGCAGAGGAAACTTAAGCATAAAAATTGAATTCGTTTCTGACATACCTTAGACTGAAAAACTGTTGGTTCATCCAGAAGTGTATTCATATTACCAGAAAATGAGTTTGTCTATGGGGATACATGAACTTCATATACTAAGGAGCCTAACTCCAAAGCCTGCGTTCTCATCCCAGTCTGATATTCACCTAAGTTTCCGGACCCTTTTCCTTAGCTGTAAAATGGAAGCGGTTGGACTGATGGTGTCTGAGGTTCTTTCCCACACTGAAATTCTAAATATTGACACTTAGCAGTCATAGGGCTGATAATACACACAGTTACTGACTTAGCCTAAACAACCTGGTGCATCGAAATGTATTCACCTTTCTTTTGTAAAGAGACCATCTTCTATCTTCTTTCCACCTTTCTCTGTTTTATGAAACCAACTGTTGACATACAAACCATGATTGAAGGAGAACCTGTCCAACATGTTTTATGTACACAAATCCCTATGTTGCTATAAGAAAAGTGAAAGTAACTGTTTTCTTCTTGGTGCTATGACAGTGTGAGACTCAGGTTGTCTGTAGAGAATGAAAGGAGCAGTGGCCCGCGTGATTGTGGCATTTAAGGAGCAGTGGCCCATGTGACTGTGGCATTTTCGGCACTTTTCATTACTTTCTGCTTGACCGGAAGTTGAGGCTTAGCTATGTTTCCATCTTCAGTTTCTGAAGACTAGTTATATATTCCTTACTAGAAATATATTCATAATATATAAAAGAAATATATCTGTGATTTTAAAATTTTGCTACCAAAGAATGCATGTTCTGTGTGCCCTGAAAATGTTACCAGTGTTAATAAATGGATACTTATCAAAAAAGAATATAGTTTCCTGAAGCTTAGTAAATATTGGGGGACAGGGGATAAAAAAAAGCACTGAGGCTTATCTCACACCATCACCTGAGTATCAGGCTGTAGCCATTGGGGGCCCACAGAAGGGGTTCTCTTAAAACATAGGCCACCATTCCCAGTTCCTGCCAGGCTACTGAGGAGTTAGGTGCTAGTTTTAACCATATGTGTGTTGTCAGGCCCGAGGGCCTCTTCCATTCTTGTCAAGGGGAGTGCTAACCTTTCATACAGCGCTAGGTGCTGGTTTTATTACAGTCAGCCCTCTGTATCAGTGGGTTCCACATCCATACATTCAGTCAATCAATCATGGATTGAAAATATTTGTAAAGAAAAGAATGGTTGCATCTGTACTGAACACAGACAGACATTTTTCTTGTCATTATTTCCTAAACGATACAGTACAACAACTGTTTACTTAGCATTTATATTGTATTGGGGATTTTAAGTAATCTAAAGATGATGTAACATATACGGGAGGATGTACATAGGTTATATGCAAATACCACATCATTTTATATCAGGGACTTAAGTATACCATCCACAGATTTTGGTATCTGCAGGTTGGGGGTTGGAGAAGTTGTCCTGGAACCAGTCCTTGCAGATATCAGGGGATGACTATATTTCACCCCTTCCCATTCCTTAAAACTACCTAAGTATGTTTTTCTCTTTATGTGCTATCCCACCGTGGCAGTTAAGTATTCACTTATTTTTATAACAATACAAGTCTGCAGATAGTGAGATCTCAGGTACACCCAGTGAACTATCTGAGCCCCCCTGGGAAGTCCCTCTTCTCTTACTCCTGTTCAGTTCAGATCCTGACCTCCAGCTTGTAGCCATAAAAGAGACTGCAGGTTGGGCCCTGCTGGGAAAGTGACAGGTGCTCCTTGACCTTCTGACTCCAGTCACTTTCTTATTTCTATGGGTCGGATTTGTAGCATTTATAAATCTAGTTATTGTCACCCCCAAATGTCATCTGTCTACCTAAATCACTGATTAGTGAAAACATGCTATGATCTCACTTCTCTTTAGAAAGCAGGGAAAATCTGAAAATCACTGCAGCTATTGCAACCTGGTTGGAGTCACACATGACCATGACATGTAATAAGTTATATGTGTGGTTCAAGGAATTGGGACTAGGGGGGCATGGGTGAGCATCACTCAGAGCAAAGAAGCGGTGGACACAGACTGGGGCATTCATACAGGTAAATGCTCAAACTTTTGTGTCACACTTCTATGTGTGTGGAATGCATTTTGCGTTCTGCTTCCGTGTGTGGCACAGACCTTGCCTACTACTGCTGCTCAGACTTTTTCCACAGCTTTACTTGAACTGTGAAAATAAAGCAGCACATAGATCTGGCCTGATTGCGACTGATGGTATGTGCCAAGTCAGTACGCAGCAAGAAACTGTTCTTCTCTTCTCCAAGGCTCTGTGATTTTGAGAGGGGTATGGTCAGAATGGTGACTTTCAGACTATATTTACCATGGCCCACTAGAAATACATCTGGTATACCTTGTGATCCAGTCCATAGACACACACAAACACAATAAAACATGCGTGTACTCCAGTAATTTTATTGTCAATTGAAAAACATCCAGAAATATATTCTAGATTGGAAAAAGAGTGCCTAAGGGCAGAGCAAAATGCATAAAGGTACCTTTTTTAAAAAGTGTGTGTATTTATGCAAGTGTTCTGCATTGAACATTCATTTTTTTTCATAAATTTAGGACAATAGGAGTGTAATTTTAAAAAATACTTCCCATCAAATAATTAAGATATCCCATTATTAAAGTATTTTAAAAATCTGTTTCAGAATTTATATGATTTCAATAAATTATTGAAAACTGGCATATTTGAGCGAGAATGTATCTGGAGATATTTCAACTTATTTGCCTCATAATTTAACCAAGGTCACACAGAACATTTTTCTACTCCTATTCTCGGTGTTTGTTTCACTGCCTTTATCACCAAACTAATAATAGTTTTTATTCTTACATGTGTGTTAAGAAGAATGATCTACCAATGACAGCAGGTTGAATTTGATCCTATTTGGGAATAAAACAGTCAACACAACTCTCTTAGGAAATGGGCAGGGGTATTAGATTATTTAAATTGTCTTTAGAGCAGTCTATTCAACATAAAATGAATTATCCTTATACCTGCGGAGATTAAAATCGAAGCTACAAGGTCAAGCCTTTCTTGGGAGTCACATACAGATTCGAAAATTCCTGGCATGTAAAGTACAAGTTTACCCTTCCTTGCCCACAGCAGATTTCACTTATCAATCATAATTTTCTTTTCTGATGATCCCCAGCCTAAGCCTCAGAATCTATCTCAAAACAATTCTCCAGGCAGCCTTGATCAATTAGCCTCCATTGGGATGGCATCCCTGGAGGCTCAGAGCGTGCAGAAAACAGCTCTGGGTACAACCCAGGAAAGAGGTCCTGGCAACATCACTCCTCTTCACAGGTCATGGGAAGTAAATAGATCCATGGACTGTTCTCTAAGTATTTCATTCTACCACCGAAAGCAAGGACTTTGTACACAACAAATAAAAACTAATTCCATCCCTGCAGATAACTTGAAAAATGTAAGCAAGGCCCCGAGAGCGCTCACAGTTGAAAAGTAGGAAATTTCTCACAATGGACCCATAGCTGGTGCCCGAGAACCAAGAAATCTGAGATGTATACAGAGTCCAGAGGTAGAAAAGTGTTTTTAACTAATAGTCAAAGGAACTGATAAATGTAGGATGGCAAATCATACCATAACCCTTATATTTTTAAAACCTAAAGAATAGTGAATATTTAATAGCCCATTGTATTTTTGAACAATAAACATGGGAAATGATGAGAATAAAATTATGCAAGAATTGAGCAGTTTTATCTGAATGGCATAATTTTGTTAACCATTAAACAGTATGAACCTTCTACTAGAATATGAACCCCTTGAGGTCCTTGACTGTCATCTGCTGTATGTCCTATTCCTAGAGTAGGGCCTTGTCTGTAGCAAGTGAGCAGTAATATTTGTGCAGCACCACTAGTGCAGTAACCGAAGTCCCTGCTTGTATCCGTGCTGAGGGAACATACTGTACCGCTTCTCTAGTCCCTGACAACTATTGTTCTTTTCTTTCCTTGTTCCCTAACTAACCAAGATTTAAAGTAGATACAGACAGTCCCTGACTCACAATGGTGTGACTTAGGATTTTCCAACTTTACAGTAGTGTAAAAGCTAGAATTCAGTAGAAACCTTACTTCGAATTTTGACTTTTGATGTAAAATTCTTTAAAATAACTTTATTATGATAGGTTTGGGGTTAGATGATTTTGCCCAACTGTAGGATAATGTAAGTGTTCTGAGCATGTTCAAGGTAGGCTAGGCTAAGCTATGATGTTTGGTAGGTTAGCTGTACTAAGCGCATTTTTGCCTTATGATATTTTCAACTTATGATGGGTTTATTGGGATGTAACCACATCATAAGTCAAGAAGCCTCTGTATGTTAATGTTGCCCTTGAGTGGGTTCCTCAATCTGAAAGATACATATCCTAAACCTAGTCTGGTTAGATCTGGTTGTATCCGTCCTTGTTCACATATCTGAAGAAGAAAGTGATGTTCCAAGGCCAAGGCCAGGGCAAAACATTCAGCTAGTAACAAAGGAAAATCAAAAGGCCAAGCAATTTTCAGTTGCTCAAAATGGCTAGCATGTTCATGGGAACATGAAAGCCATGAGACAAGTAATCATCATAGGCTTAGAATATTAGTGTAAGCTAAAAGAGTCAAAGTCAAAGTAAATATGAAGACATTTATTTTTTTATTTTTTTAATATACGGGTTCTTCCTGTGTTGCCCCAATTGGATTCAAACTCCTGGACTCAAGGGATGCTCTTGCCTCAGTCTCCCAAGTAACTAGGATTACAGCCATGTGCCACCACGCCCAGCAAGTGAAGAGCATGTTTAATTGACCTCATTTAACAGGAAAAATAGAAGAAGTAAAAGGTTAAGAGAAAATTTTCAGTTAGAAATCTTGTAGCTGGAGTGGTTTCTCGATTTGGAAGTTCAAGACATGACCATGGCTGTCAAGAGTTGAGGTGGATTCCAGACAAGAGTACATGTGATTTTCAAATACTATGAGACCTTGGCATTCAATTCTAATATTTTACTTGTGTTTAAATTTACTTATTCTACAAATTAAACCTTTAACATGCATATGAAATTAGCCTGAGGAGTCTAAAACCATAAAAAATAAACGCTATGCTGTCTGCAACTGAATTCCCTATGCTAAATCTCATTATTTGTGATTTGGATTCAGTGCTTTTTTGTTTTGTTTTGTTTTGTTTTGAGACAGAGTCTCACTCTTGTTGCCCAGGCTGGAGTGCAGTGGCGGGATCTCGGCTCAACGCAACCTGTGCCTCCCAGATTCAAGCGATTCTCCTGCCTCAGCCTTCCGAGTAGCTGGGATTACAGGCACCTGGCACCATGCCCAGCTAATGTTTTTTTTCTTTCTCTTTTTCTTTTCTTTCTTTTTTTTTTTTTTTTTTTTGAGACAAAGTCTCAGATGCTCTTGTCCCCCAGGCTGCAGTGCAGTGGTGCGATCTCAGCTCACTGCAGCCTCCACCTCCAGGGTTCAAGAGATTCTCCTGCCTCAGCCTCCCGAGTAGCTGGGATTACAGGCACCTGGCAGCACACCCAGCTAATTTTTGTATCCTTAGTAGAGACAGGGTTTCACCATGTTGGCCAGGCTGATCTCGAACTGCTGACCTCAGGTGATCCGCCTGCCTCAGCCTCCCAAAGTGCTGGGATTATGGGCTCTTTTTTTTTTTTTTTATACAGTGGTCTCACTGTCACCCAGGCTGGAGTGCGGTGGTGCGATCTCAGCTCACTGCAACATCCATCTCCTGGGTTCAAATGATTCTCATGCCTCAGTCTCCCAAGTAGCTGGGACTACAGGCATGAGCCTCCATGCCTGGCTAATTTTTTTTTTTTTTTTTTTTGTAGAGATGGGGTCTCTCCATGTTGCCCAGGCTGGTCCTGAACTCCTAAGTTCAAGCGATCTGCCTGCCTCAGCCTCCCGAAAAAGTTATCTTTTGTTTTGTTTTTGAGTTAGAATTCTTCTTTATTTCATAATAATTCTTTTTTGTTTGTTTTTGAGTTAGAATTCTTATTTTATAGTTATTCTTTTTTTTTTAAGTTTTGGGATACACGTGCAGAACGTGCAGGTTTGTTACATAGGTATACATGTGCCATGGTGGTTTGCTGCACCCATCAACCTGTCATCTAGGCTTTAAGCCCTGTATGCATTAGGTAATTGCCCTAATGGTCTCCCTCCCATTGCCCACCAACCCCCAGCAGGCCCTGGTGTGTGATGTTCCCCTCCCTGTGTCCATGTGTTCTCACTGTTAACTCCCACTTATGAGAGAGAACATGCAGTGTTTGGTTTTCTATTCCTATGTTAGTTTGCTGAGGATGATGGCTTCCAGCTCCATCCAGGTCCCTGAAAAGGACATGATCTCATTCCTTCCAAAAGTGTTACCTTTATATCACTTTTTTTATTAACACGTGGTTACTCAGCAACTATTTGTAGAATGCATGAGAAAGCTTTTTATGTAATATTATGACATTCTGCTCACCTCTCCCTTATAGAAATTCCCATGCTTTGTCCCACGACAACTTGCTGAATAACCCCAATAATTTTAGTATCATAGGTTAGGAAATTTTAAAAATAATCATTTTGAAGTAATGAGGCTCCCAATATTATAGCTATGGGACCAAATATATGAAGGACATAAAATAAGGGATTCTTAGAATAATATATGAGTTTTACTTTTTTGTGCTATAGAAAATACATAAGCATCCATCAATACTCTCTCCACCATATCAACGTAATTTATTTAAGAAATACCTTTCACTCTACCTTTAGTTCCATATTCATGAAAAGAATGTCCTAGGCCCCAGTGCTCCACACATTCTGCTCTTTTATTTGCATTCCTTAAAATTCAGGGAAGCCTACATGAATAATGAGATGAAGAGAAATGATGCAGAAAGTTGTTGGGATAGCTTTTAGTCAGTGAATTTATTAGGCATATTTTAAAGTTGACCTTTTAATCCAAGTTTTTATTCAATTCTATTGCAAGGAACTGAGCAGCATGGTCAGTTGGAATATTTGCATTCCAGTGGCATTGAGCAATAAGTTTCATGAGGAAGCCCTGGATTAAATCATGAAGAAGCCAATATATTATTTTCAAGGCTTGAGAGATATAGGATAGAGATTTTTTTTTTCTTTTTTTGAGACGGAGTCTTGCTCTGTTGCCCAGGCTGGAGTGCAGTGGCATGATCTTGGCTCACTGCAACCTCCGCCCCCCGGGTTCAAGTGATTCTCCTGCCTCAGCCTCCCAAGTAGCTGGGACTACAGGCACGTGCCACCATGCCTGGCTAACTTTTTGTATTTTTAGTAGAGATGGGGTTTCACCGTGTTAGCCAGGATGGTCTTGATCTCCTGACCTTGTGATCCGCCCGCCTCGGCCTCCCTGCCCTAAATTTTAAGAAGTGGCTATGCAAATCATTTTCATAATGCTCTAGATATTGCTAGTAATTATGTACCCATATAAATACATTAATAATGTTAGTCATATCGAGGCCATTGTTATTCATTCCTGTTTTGAGGAATGAAAACTTTCCACAAGTTGCTCTAAGGCTTAACCATTCCCTTGGTTAGATGTGTCATTTATAAGAGCCAAAGCTTCACAGAACTAAAATCAAGTAAATAATGTTAGCATTAAAGGGGATCGGATAAATGGATTGACTACAAAGAATTAGAGAAATCACAGAAGCCTCAAATTACTAAAGTTTCCAATTATTCATACTTTAGCATCCTTAAAAAATTCCACACACCAGAACCTTTTTGTTGACTCTGTGGGAGGCACTTTTCATCTTAACATAAAAAAGACTCTGCTAACAATTTTTCCATCCAACAACTACAGAACAGACCCATTCCCACTAGACATGGCAAGCTCCCGGCAACAGAAGTTGTTCAGTCTAAGGCTAGACAAATGCTTGTGGGGATCTGGCCTCTAAATTAATCTCCAAGTTTGTGTGTTGAGTAACTCCTTCAGGAAATTGAATATTTTATAGCTATATGAAGTTTGAGGGAAAGGACAGATGTATCTGCTTCCTGCTAAAATTGTGCTGATTAGCTAAAATCATCACAAGCAACCTTAACTTTGTACTTTTTGTAAATGCATTCTTATGGCCTCATTGAAAATTTACCAATACTGCATCTACTGGTCAGGTTTCTAAGTAGAAGATTTATGACTGAAGAGTTTGCTCTCTGTAAGACTATGGATGCAAGAATGTAGATAAAAATGAGTTTCCCTGGGTAGATGGAGTTCCACAGTCCCCGGCAGGAAACTAACCCTGGCCATTTCATTAGAAGTTAACTTTCAATAAACCACAGTCCAGTTAAATGGGATATTCCAGGTTGACATATCATTGTCCTTACATGCAAATTTTAGTACCTACTGTAAGACAGACATTAGGGTATAAGGATGCCCTCACAGAACTTACATTATGGTAAATGAATAGGAGACAAATGAGAGAAAGGAGCCAGGAGTCAAAGAGACATGGGAAGAGGAAGAAAAAGAGGCAGAAGTACATGGGAACACAGATGGGGAAGACTGCAGATAGTGCTAAAGTGGAGCATTCACTGTGGGCACAGGAGATAGGGAAAGAAGAAGAGAGTGGAAAGTTTGCTTCCCTTCTCTAAACCACTCGGAATGACAGAATTACCTTAAATTATTGTTTTGCTTTGTTTTGAGAGGAAGTTTTGCTGTTGTTTCCCAGGCTGGAGTTCAGTGGCGCGATCTCAGCTTACTGCAACCTCTACCTCCCAAGTTCAAGCAATTCTCCTGCCTCAGCCTCCTGAGGTACTTGCCACCATGCCTGGCTAACTTTTTGTATTTTTATTAGAGATGAGGTTTCACCATGTTGGCCAGGCTGGTCTTGAATTCCTGACCTCAGGTGATCTACCCACCTTGGCCTCCAAAAGTGCTGAGATTACAGGCGTGAGCCACCGTGCCTGGCCTACCTTAAATTATTAACACCGAAGTTACTATAGAAGTGGAAGATGGGATTTTATGTATCCAGTAAAAAGAATGTTTGTGAGAAATTTATAATAGACTAATACTAAGAGCATAAAGGATACAGTGCATATGTAATTTTGATTACATTTATGTAAATAATAGCCAATACTGGAAGAGAATATATTTAATTTTTAACATGGTTGACTTTGAATGATGATATTGTAGGTAAACTTTTTCATTATAAATCTATCTACATTTTTCTATATTTTGTAAAAATAGGTTACATGTATGTTTATAAATCAGAATTTTTAAAAACTGGTGTATATGATTTAAAATATTTAAAATATATGTAAGAAAAAAATAAACCTTCTCAGTAAATTATTATTCAAACATTATGAAGACATTCACAGAAACAGAGAGGCTCAACAAGGCCCATAGAGGCAGACACAATCTAATTCTCCAAGGTCCTCATGAATAGAAACGTGTAGACAGGCCACGGAAGGAGGACAGAGGAATAGGCAGAGGCTGACAGGGCACACAGAACAGCAGCCAGCACGAAGACCCTCATCGTCTGACTCATTCTGCAATTTCTCAGACATTGAGATGGCACTTATTATTCCCATGCACATGTTTTTTCTTTTTTATAAAGTTTCAGCTTTTCCTTAAATCATTTATTCATTCAACAGACAATCATTAAGCATCTGTGCAAACTCCATTTCAGTTAGAATCATGCTATTGCTTATCCCGTGGACTCAGGCTCACCAGGCGAAACCCAATCACAATCCCACCCTCTCCCTCTCCTGCACCTGAAAATTGCTGGGGGGAATAAGGAAAAAAAAACAAGGGCCCGGGCGCGGTGGCTCACACCTGTAATCCCAGCACTTTGGGAGGCCGAGGCGGGTGGATCATCTGAGGTCGGGAGTTGGAGACCAGCCTGACCAACATGGAGAAACCTCGTCTCAACTAAAAATACAAAATTAGCCGGGCGTGGTGGCACATCCCTGTAATCCGAGCTACTCGGGAGGCTGAGACAGGAGAATCACTTGAACCCAGGAGGCAGAGTTTGCAGTGAGCTGAGATCACGGCACTGCATTCCAGCCTGGGCAAAAAGAGCGAAACTCTGTCTCAAAAAAAAAAAAAAATACAAAAACAAAACATGACAACTGTGACGACTGACCTCACTTAAAATTGCATGCACACATCCAGATACACCTTTTTTAAGTGGGTCTTCAATGATGCCTGGCAATTCTACTGCATGTCCCCAATCCATTCATTCTCCCATTTTCTTTGTTTCTCTTTCATGGCTGCTCCTCTTCCTCAGACTTTCAGTACGTCTTCCCCAACTCCTCACTTCCATTTGGTGACCTAGCTTCCAACTTCTCTGAGAAAATTGTAGCAATCAAAAAAGAACTCAGACTCCATCCCATTCTCCACCCACCAGCATCTGCCCCTGCCGCCTTTCCTTCTGTTACCATAGTGAACCATCCACCGTTCCCATCAAAGCTGGCCATCCACTTGTGCACAGTTCTCCTTTCTGGTCCCTTCAGGGTCATCCTGCAATCTGCCCCTCTCTTTCCTACATCATGGGTTTTGTCCTCCTTTCCCCTGGATCATTCCAATTGGCATAAAAAGTACTATCTTAAATTGTTTTATTGGCCCTGCTTCCTTTATCAGCCACCAACTCATTTCTTTATTCTCCTTCGCAGTATACTTTTAAATGTTGTCTAAGTGCACTCTAGTTCCAATTCCCCTCCTGTTTCTCTCTTAAACCCACTCCAAGGATGCGTTGTCCTCCCCATTCCACCAAAACAACTGGGCGCTGGTGACATCCATATTGCTAAAGTCAGTGGTCAAGCCTCAGTCCTCAATGGACTTGACATAGCTCATCAATATTTAATACAATTATCACATTCTACCCTTGACTCCCAGGACACTAAACTCTCCACTCTCCTGGTGTTACATCTATCTCACTGGTCAGTCTTCTGTACCCTTCACTGGTTCCTCATCTTTTCCTCCAGCTTTTTAATGTAGGACGGCTCCTAGGTAAGGCCTCGTTCTTTTATTTTTCATTGTGTCTCACTCTTAGTGGTCACACCTAGTACATACGGTCTCCAACAACGTATGCATGGAAAGTCACATACTGAATCTTCTACTTGTCATCTCCACTCTGATATCTGATGGACTTTTCGCACTCAGCATGTCGAAGACTAAACCAGTACTCTTCTCCTAAAAGCCTGTGTCATCTCCTACCTCCCCATCTCAATTGCTGGTAATCCCATCCTTCTCGTTTTCAAGCCCAAAGCCATGGAGTCATTCTGATTTCCTCTTTCTCTTGCACTTGCTAGTTCTGCTTTCAAAATGGATTTTGACTCCTTCTTGCTGTCTCTGTCATGATCACTCTGGTTCAGGCCATGTGGTCTCTCTTGTGAATGACTGCAGTAGCCTCCCAATGGTTCCTGCTTCTACCCTGAGCTCCTTCCTGACTGTTAGCACAGTGGCCACAGCCGGTCATGCCATTTCTCTACTTAAAATCCTGCTTAGGATTAGGAAGAAAGGCAAAGTCTTTACAATGGACTGAAATGTCCTAGATAGCCTGACTGACTCCCCTCATTACTTCTCTAATCTTATTTTTTGCTCTCCCTCTGCTCACTCTGCTCAAGCTTCACAGGCCTCCTTACTCCTCAGACACAACCCTTGCAGCCTTGGCACTAGCTGTTCCCTCTGCCTAGAATGCACCTCCCCATATGTCTGTCTAGCCAGAGCCCTTGCCATTTTCATATCATTTTTCAAACCTCACTTTCTCAACAAGGCCTCCTTGGAGCTTCGTATTGAATAAAGAAATAGGCCCACTAACCCAACTCCACCCCACCGTATCCCTGGCACTTTCAATGCCCCTTACTTAGTGTTAATTTTATTTTTTCCAAAGAATTCGTCACCTAGCATCCCACATAATTTACTTATTATATTACCTCTCTTCCCCTTGCTAGAATGTAATCTCCATGAGGGCAGCGACTTTTGTTGTTTTCACAGATGTTTCCCAAGGCTCTAGAGCAACAGGGCAGGTGCATTCCTTCATTCAGCAAACGCCTGCTGAGAATTTCCCATATGCCAGGCACTGGGAGTTGAGCACAGAATAAGACCATCATGCTGTCTGTCCCCTTTAAACTTCACAGTCTGATTCTTATTGAGATTTCCTGGACACCTAACTTTTAAAATATCTATAGGAAAGTGGAAAAGCACCAAGAAGAATTGCATCAGCCACCCTCACAGCACACTAAATGCTCTCATCAAACTCTGAGACTCTGCTGACTGAAATAAACACCATAACTGTGCACTTGTGTTTTAGGGTTCAGTGGTATCTCAGACAATTAAGCGTCTGCAAACTAGGACTCCAAGGTTCCTCAATCCAGTACACAAAAATTTATTTGCCTTAATGACACTAGATATAATTAATGATGAACAAAATAAAGCAAATAAGATACTGTGTCTTTCTCACCCCGGGAGTATAGTCTCTCAATATATCTAATTCTATTGTCTCAATAATTCTTCCCCTAAATTAAAAAATTAAAAGCTTTGAATGAAAATATCCCCATTTAAAAAATTCCCCTGACATGGTAATCAAGTCTTATGCTTTAGCCAATAATTAGCTGGACTGAAATTTTTCCATGCCCATTTTTCTGCAGTTCTGGCAGCAAATTGATAACCCCAGGCAATTTTTAATTAGCACCCTTTAAAAATGGTTTGCTAAATTACTTGACTCTGAAATCACCCCACCCAAATGATTAAGTTCAAATTGCATTTCGAATCTATCACCTGTTTTGACTGTATGAACATACTATCACCCCAGGATGGTTAATTACAATGTTTATCTGTGTGCTCACACACTCATAGCACAGCGTGCAGCAAATGCCAGCTGGCACATCCTGACACTGCTGTTTCTAGTGTCCTACTGGCCTTTTGCTGTTGACATTTCTATCACCGGCAATCGTTCTGCCCCCTTAATCCTGTGGAGACAGTATTTACAGATAACGCTCCTTACATCCAAGTAAATCACTTGTTATCTTGAGAAAACCTAGGGCCTACTTTAGTGAGGTCTTGGTGGTGGCTGTGCTCAGCTGGCCTGACAGCTGTGCTAACTCAGGGGAGGCCACTCCATCCTCACACCTTTCACACCCAAATCGTATTTATGAAGCACCTATTAGTAAGTGCATTCAAATTATTTAATTTTCAAGACTAGGAATGAGGTAGTTTTTGTTTTCTTTTGTTTTGCTTTTTTGAGATGGAGTTTCGCTCTTTTGGCCCAGGATGGAGTACAATGGTGTGATTTCAGCTCATTGCAACCTCTGCCTCCAGGGTTCAAGTGATTCTCCTGCCTCAGCCTCCCAAGTAGCTGGGATTACAGGTGCGTGCCACCACGCCTGGCTAATTTTTGTATTTTAGTAGAGACAGGGTTTCACCATGTCGGCCAGGCTGGTCTCAAACTCCTGAGCCCAGGTGATTTGCATGCCTCGGCCTCCCAAAGTGCTGGGATACAGATGTGAGCCACTGAACCCAGCTGAGGTAGTTTTAACTCTGACTCATAGATGAGAACATGGAACAGCAGAAGACTTAAATAATTCAACCAAAGTTAGTGACAGAGCCAGAACAGGACTTTTGGTCACCTGACTACAAGTCAATTGCCACCACGTAGTGCCCCCATCATCTCCAGTCTCCATTCCCCCAACCATCTCCTTATCTCCCTTTCTCAAGCTCTGTCTCCCTCTAATCATGTCCCTACCATGCAGCCAGATCTTAAACCACAAACCTGCTTGCAATACTCTTTTGCTTACATAGCTTACCAATGACATGGGCTAAGGTTCAAGGTCATCCTGCAAAGCCTTGTGTCATCTGTCTGCCTTCCTCTCCCATCTGCTCATCACACTCCAGCCACGCCGACAATGGGCAGTTCTCTGAACTCTCTTTGCTCTCCCAAGTCCTTTGCACAAGCAAATCCCTCTGCCTATGACCCAGCGCCTACCACTGCACTTTCACTAGGGTTGTCACTGGTTCTTCCAGGCAGCCAGTGAGGAAGCTGAGTCCAGGCACTTCAGTGACATCTCCCTTGGCCTCTCCCAGGGGAAGGTAGGCTCCAGCATGGCTCTCACTGAACCTGGCACAGTGGAAGCTGCAGCGGCGTTGGTGCCCACACCTGACCTGACTAGGCCCATTAAACTGGGCCTTCATCATTGGAGGAAGACAAGGTGGACAGTGATGTTCCATGAGGGGACAGAAGTGATGGGACTCTTCATGGAGCCAGCAGCCAGTGGCCCAGGAAAAGGGAGCAAGGAAATCTGGGAAGGGTATAAATCTGATACAACATATTGTTATACTGGTCATTCTACAAGATAAAGATGTCTTCCTTATACCCTAGATTGTTCCACAACCCAAAGAAAGTAGATCATTTTCCTTGTTTTGTGTAGTTTTTTTTTTTTTTTCAGACATTGGTAAAAAAAAAAAAAAAAAAGAATCAACTTAAGGAAAATCTATCAGGTGCTTAGCATTGTTAAAACTTAACTTGCCTGCTTTTCCATTCTACTTCTTTACATGCTCCTTGCTTACAGGGCTATTTTCTGATAAAGAGAGATGAGGATTCCTTCCTGTTCTAATTTGTTCCATGAGATCTAAGAGTGGGTGGTTTCTAGGAGATTTCACACCCGGCTTGGAATTGGTAGGATGTATGTTAGCTCCAGCTGGCAATAAGAATCTTAATAATTCTGGCCTCAAGTTTATTCTCAAAGTCTAGGTGAAGACTGACACAACCTCAGAGCTGGAAAGAACCCTCGAAGACAATGAATCTGGTGCCTGAGTTTTACTTGATTAATGAGCAATCATATTTGCAGATAGCAGGCACATGCCCTAACACAACCACAATTATAAGTCTTTAATTCCTTTAAGGCAACTGAACTATTTTGGAATATCTTAGGCATCCAAGCCTACAGTTAGGTGACTAATGACTTGAGTCTTATTTATGCCTTTGACATTGAAATGAACATACTGCAGAATTTCCCCCACCAGGTGGCAGTCAAACCTTACTAAACTATGATTTGTATATTCCACATACATACAAGTAGTGTGTCTATTTCCACTACTTGTTGGCCAGGTAGACATCTATATTTTCAGCTCAGTTCAGTGGGCCCACCATCTGCAAACCCTATGAACAGTATCCTAATGATAAAGTACTGAAAAAATGGGGGATTGATACCAGTGGCATTATTAGGGTACCAGGGCTTAACAGCGACTCGGGTAGCTGTTGGCAGTCCAGCCTGAATTGGGTTCCTGTCTCTGATAATCTTCATTTAGCCATGGAAGTTGAGAAAATCAGATAGTGTATCCTTGACATAGTCCTAAAATACAAGGCTTTCCATTAAATCCCAGGCACCTCAGTTCAATAAATCCTATATTGCATGTTGGCTTTTGTCAACCTCTCTTCTAGACACCACTGTAAGAAGGTCATAGCTACTGGGGCAAAAATAGACTCATACTTTACATCCTTACTTGCAGGATGGTCCCTTATTGTAAGAAGGTCATAGCTATTGGGGAAAAAATTGACTCATACACAATAAGGGAGTAAAATAAAAAGAAATTATTCCTATGAACCTTTCCTCTCCCCTTCCCCAAATAAACTCCTTGAGCAAACTACAGAAATGCTAACAGCGAGAGGTCAATGTACTTAATTCTTTCAAAAATCACGATGTGTGATGGCCAGACAAATCACCCAAGGGTTCAAAATAGGGAAAGAAAGGAAGATGTTAGTTCATGGTAGCATAATATTAGCAGAGATGTTACTGTTGTTCTTAGTGGGGGAAAAATGTAAATTTTATAGGGGAATGAGGACAGAAAAAGCGGTTCTTTCCTTCACCATTTACTCCTCCTTGTAATCAAGGCTTGCCTGCCCAGTTTCCATTTGCCTGAGTCTTCTCTGAGGATCCGACATATAAGTCTGCAAGAGAGAACAGCACAGGCAAGTTTGCTGATCAACTATAGTACACTCTGTGTGTAACTGTATATGATTTGTGGGGATAGGGACGGGGGCGCACTCACTGTCACTGTCCCCACCCTTAACGAAGAGTAGAAACAGATGTCTCGAGACAGCTGAACCAAACGGATGGGAAGCAGGATCACACGGGAAGCGAGGTTTTGAAAGGTTTGCTCAACACACACGGTCTCTCTGATGTGAGGAAAAGTTGAAAATGAGAAAAGGTAAATAATTAAACCATAGCACTGTACCTCATTCTCACACTCAGATTACCATCTACCACAACATTCTCTCTCAGTGTATCTAAATATGATTGCAAGTCCTTCCCACACAATGCTTCAAGCAGACCCTTCTGGTTGATAAATCTATCAGAGTTAGCAGAAAAGTTGAAAACTATTTCCCAAATACCAGCTATAAAGATCACCCATACAGAAGACTCTTTTGATTCCAGAATTATCCAATATGGAAGCCACTACCATATGTGTCTACCAAGCACATGAAATGTGGTTAGTGTGACTTGGGAATTAAAATTGTATTTAATTTTAATTAAAAGTTTAAATAGCCACATATAGTGGCTACTGGGCTGAATAGTGCAGATCTAAAACATTTCCATCATCACAGAAAGTTCTATTGGACACCAGTCTATTCCATAGCCACATCAGAAAGCTCTAAGTATTTACAGAATTCAAAATTAGAACTTGGCTTCTGGCCAGGCACGGTGGCTCACGCCTGCAATCCCAGCACTTTGGGAGGCCAAGGTGGGCAGATCACCTGAGGTCGGGAGTTCAAAACCAGCATGGCCAATGTGGCAAAACCCTGTCTCTATTAAAAACACAAAAATTAGCTGGGCATGGTGGCGCATGCCTGTAATCCCAGCTACTCTGGAGGCTGAGGCACGAGAATCACTTGAATCCAGGAGGCAGAGGTTGCAGTGAGCCGAGATTGCACCACTGCACTCCAGCCTGGGTGACAAAGCAAGACTCCATCTCGAAAAAAAAAAAAAAAAAAAAAAAAACTTGGCTTCTTCATTTTAACATACCCTTGCAAGCAGTCTTGCAACTTTTTTATAGATTATTTTATTGGTAATAACACCTGAATCAAATTAAATGTGATCTTTAGCTCTCATGCACCAGCATGTTGAGAAACTCAAACTCAGTAATGTTTGGGGCATAAGAATCTTTAGTGCAGACTGCTGCTGAGATGCTTACTGTCTGAGCCCACATCATTCATTCACAGATAGGTGGTGTATTTCATTATTCTAAGCTTAGGCCTAGCAATCCTTCTTGATAAGCCTCAAGAGCATGGATCTCAGAGTTCATCTCCTATCCCCACCCCAAGCATTCACACATCAGACAGAATTCTATTAACCAAATAAGAAGTAATGTGTAAATGGGGCATGGATCTTTACCATTCACAGATTACAAACACACATGCACATACATACACACATGAAATAGTCATGAGGGGAGATTTGCGTATGCCACCCATGCTACCCAGAGCCCCTTGCCACTAGCCACGTTCAACCTCACAGTGTTCTTCATCATCGCCATAGCAAGCCCCTGGGCAGCATCTCCTCTGAGCTGTTTGCAGACAAAGTTCCAAAGACCTCAGAAAACAGTCTTGTTCTAAGAACTTGAGAAAAAGGATTTGGTTATAAGGGTTCTTGCTTTCACAGAATGATTCCAGGGTTTATGTGTCAGGGTGGTGAATTCACACACCATAAGGGCACTGGTGGCAAGTCCATCTGCAGGGAGAAGTCTGATGATGAGAACCTCATCCTGAGGCCTATGGGTCCTGGCATCTTGTCCATGGCAAATGCTGGACACAACACAAATGATTCCCAGTTCTTCATCTGCACTGCCAAAACTGAGTGGCTGGATGGCAGGGATGTGGTCTTTGGCAGGGTAAAAGATGGCATGAATATTGTGGAAGCCATGGAGTGCTTCTGTTCTAGGAATGGCAAGACCAGCAAGAAGATCATCACTGCTGACTGTGGACAAATCTAATAAATTTGCTTTGTGTTTTACCTTAGCTACCAGACCATTCCTTTTGTAGCTCAGGAGAGCACCCCTCTACCCTATTTGCTCTCAGCATCCTATAATCGTTGTGCTCTTGCTATAATTCTTTGGGTTCCATATTTTCCTTATTCTCTTCCACATCTAGCTGGATTGCAGGGTTAAGTTTATGATCATGAGATAAAAACTAACAACAAAAAACGAGAGAAAGAAATGGTGTCATGAACTTACCCCTTTTCTCATTGCAGATAAACTATCCTCCAGGTTTGGCCCATCAGCCTCTTCAAAGCCCTTACCTTTTTCCTCCACACCATGATTCAAAGATTTGAGGGAGTGCACTCCTCTAAATCTGCTCTAGGGACAGCAAAGACCCCACTGTCACCATCCCTGGTCTTGGGTTCAAATTTCTGCTTGTTAGGTAAAGAAAATGTTGACGTGTGGGGTGAGAGGATTGAGTTGTCCACAAAGAAATAAGAGCTTCCATTCTTTCTGATTTGTTTATAGCAATGATGCTAAAATACAGATGAACACCTTAATATAAGTTATTCTTCCAAATTGATCAGGTGTTGCTATTTTATAAGTAGCAATAGTACATAACAACACATCCATCCAGCATGTAGCATTACACTGTTAATATTAACTGCCCTGATTAACAAAAATAATTTAATCAATGCAAATGGTATGTAATCTTCCAAACTCAGCTATGACATTTTGCCACTGACCAGACAAGGTTTCAAGGAAGAGAATTTTAAAATGGCTTCTCCATTTAGAATGTTCTACTGTTTACGCAAGGCAGCCTACTCTCTTCTCCCTTGTCCAGACAGATTTGATCTGTCCAGACAATTTGAACATCAGCTCCACCACTGTGTTAGTATTTAAAGGTTATATGCTGCTCAAGACCAACTTTTCTTCTAAAAGCCCTGATGCTGCAATTTCCAAGCCGAACCGTGACTAGCTTTGCCTCCTTTCATTCATTGCCTTGTATTATGAGTATAAAGGTCCATTTCCTCACCAAGCTGTAAAGCCCTTTGAGGGCAGAGCCTAGATTATTCATTGTTATTTGCCTTTCTTCATTTCCAGTACCTGGCCTCTACATATTTCTTAAGTGTTTTCTCTCATTCATCTGGCTAACTCCACATCATGGTTTTTTTTGTTTTTTGTTTTGTTTTTTTGGCGGTGGAGGGAGAGTGGGGACTTCTTTGATGCACCCAGCCCCTTTTGCTTAAATTTGCAAGAATTGATTTTTTTGACTGCACCCTGAACCCCACCTGATGTAGGCAAGGACAACCATATGCCTTCAATGCTTAACAGAGTGCCTGAGCTACCATCAGCACCAATTCACAAGAAGGAATGCGTATTGAGTGTTATACATAGTAGGAACTCAACAAATGCCTGGTTGTTAGGATATGAGACTTCTAGTTTCAGCCTTCTTTTTTTCTTTGCTACACTAGAAGGATAAGATGCAAATAGACCCCTCAATTTCTGAGCCTTTGTCCTTGTGTTCTCAAGGAAAGAGAAACTAAATTTTTGTCGTTAATGATTCAGTGTAAGAACAAGGTTTGAGGGAAATTGTAGAATGGAGTGGGAAAGCAGACAGCAGGAAGGAGCTTCATAAAAGAAAGATCTGTCCCTGGGCTGAGGAGGTGGGGAGTGTCAGTGAGGAGAAGCAAGACCTCAGAGAAGAGGACTGTGCTGCTTCTACAGAGATAGAACCACTGAACCAGTTTACAGATTACAGTTTACAGATATCTTTTTCTTTTTCTTTTTTTTTTTGAGGGGGGGATGGAGTCTCGCTCTGTCACCCTGGCTGGAGTGCAGTGGCACAATCTCGGCTCACTGCAAGCTCCGCCTCCTGGGTTCAAGCAATTCTCCTGCCTCAGCCTCCCAAGCAACTGGGACTACAGGCACGGGCCACCACGCCCGGCTAATTTTTCTTTTGTATTTTTAGTAGAGACAGGGTTTCACCGTGTTAGCCAGGATGGTCTCGATCTCCTGACCTCATGATCCGCCTGCTTCGGCCTCCCAAAGTGCTGGGATTACAGGCGTTAGCCATCGTGCCCGGCCCAGAATATCTTGTTTTCCTAAGCAGAGAGATCTCAGACCTAAAGAGAATGTGTAGACAAGGAGAGCAGATGTCTCTGACGATCTATAAGGACAAATAACAGACAAGCAGGCAGTCTCTTCTGTATAAGGCCCAGGACCCAAAGAAACACTCAGCATGACATGCCCAATTTCTTGCCAGCCTGGAGAGATATAGCCTACAAAGTCAAAATTAGACTGACTTGGAGAACATAAAGAAAGATAGTAGCCTGTAACCTCAGCACTTTGGGAGGCCAAGGCAGATGGATCACCTGAGGTCGGGAGTTCGAGACCAGCCCGACCAACATGGAGAAACCCTGTCTCTACTAAAAGTACAAAATTAGCCGGGTGTGGTGGTGCATGCCTGTAATCCCAGCTACATAGGAGGCTGAGTCAGGAGGATCACCTGAACCCAGGAGGCAGAGGTTGCAGTGAGCTGAGATCGTACCATTGCACTCCACCCTGGGCAACAGGAGTGAAACTCCGTCTCGAAAAAAAAAAAAAAAAAAAAAAGGAAAGATAGTATTTCTCACATAATATGAATATGTGAACCTAGATTAATATGTATGTTGTTAAATAGATTGGAAGCTCTCAGGATAAGTTCCCATATTATTCAGCTGTTGGTTGTACTGCTCTGACTGACCAGGAAGAGCAAAGCTTTAGTGTACAAACGCAAGGGAGCAGTGATACTGTGTGTTCCTACAGGCTGCCCAGGACAATGCTAATCCTTGCTCAAGGTCGAGAATAGAGATCATGTAGGCTTCTTTCTTTGGTGTTTAACATTCTTGTACATCTAAGTACAAATTTACGACGTAGAATCCTCCCAGAACAAATGGTACTCTCTCACCTCTAAGCCTCCAATGATTTACTACCATCATCTTCCAACTCAGAGTTCGAAGAATCAAGGAAATTGAGGCCTACCTCTTCACCTTTTAAATTAAAATCTACAATGAAAGTTTCAAGGTGAGAGAAGACATAAAATCATATCAATATATAAAATACAAGACAAAGAAAATGTTCTAATACTCTTAATAAAATACTGGCAGTGTAGAGGAAGGCAGTCTCCTTATTCAAGCATATCCTTCTAACCTCTCGCTTACTGTAAAGACAGAAAGTAAAGCTATACTTTTAAGCCAGGCTAGTGAACAATAGAAGAACCCTGAAAATAATTTTCTATGGATAGTTCCATGGTACAAAACAATCCTTTAAACCATCATGCCTGAAAAGAAAGATCCAAAGGAGATCATAAGGGCTGGATCATAATGTGCCCATACTGTGCCCAAACGAGAGAGTGAATATTCACCGCAGGTCATACAGAACATCCCTTGAGCAGGGCCAGGTCACATGGACAAATAATTTGACTTATGGCATGACTTGTGCAAATCTGCCTTAGTGAAAACCTGTTGGGTTGCAGAAACAGAAGTCTAGTCAAAGAGTTACTGTTTACTATGATGAGGATTCAGGCCACTTTTGCATCAGTCACCTATTGCTTCTATTCAGTATCCATTCTAAATGGTCAGTACCTGTGCCTTTCTAGTTATCTTTTTTTTTTTTTTTCTTGAGACAGGTTCTCACTCTGTCACCCAGGCTGGAGTGCAGTGGCATGAACATGGCTCACTGCAGCCTCAACCTCCTGGACTCAAGTGATCTTCCCACTTCAGTCTCCCCAGTAGCTTGGACCACAGGCATGCACCATTGCACCCGGGTAATTTTCTTATTTTTTATAGAGATGGGGTCTCACCATGTTTCTCAGGCTGGTCTTGAACTCCTAGGCTCAAGTGATCCTCCCGCCTCAGCCTCCCAAAGTGCTGGGATTACAGGCATGAGCCACCAAGCCCGGCCTCCAGTTATCTCATACTGTATCAACCGAAACAGCCACACAAAACTCAATTTCTGGAAATCCAGACAAATTCCAAGGGATGCAGAAAGTAGAAGGTAGTTTCCCTGGCTCTCCCTGATGCTATCGCCACAGAATAGGTAGAGAGGCCTATGAGAAGTTCTGTACTGGTGATGGTGGGACATATACAGTATAAAGCCAATAATAAAGATGGCGTGAAAGTAGTCTTTGCAATAGAGAAGACATACTGTTTTAGGGAATAGAGTGGGAAGACTTGAGAGATACAGCAGAGAAAACATTGGCAAAAATTTGTAATAGGTGAAAACCCTGTTTCCCAAAGAGCATAGCCATTATTAGTCTGAAAATCTCCCGGGCTACCTGCTGAAAATGGCAGATTCCTCGGCTTTCCTCCAGAAGCTCAAAAATCAGCATTGCAGAGGAGGGAGAGGAAGTCTAGGAAATCTGCATTTTTAACTCATTTCTCAGGTGATTCTCAAAGAAACAGTCTGAGAAGGGGAAGAAGAATGATGTGCCTGGTCATTATCCTATGTGAGTTTAGATGCCATGGAGCACCCAAGAGGATGCCCCGAATGCATTTGGAAAAACAGGAGTAGATGGTCAGAGCTGTTGTTATAGAACCGGGATGAATCAGAATTTTCTGATAAAATGGAGGCAGGCAATGACACAGGGAGAAGTTGCTTGTCTATATATTCAATATCCAAACACTCTCCTATTTTGGAAGAACCTTTACTGTGTGGATCTTGGTGGGAGCAGGGCCCCACCCCTCACTATGGGAGCAAAGAAGTCAGTTATTCCCTCCCCCTACCCTCTAGTGACCAGGATGTAAACACACATCAAGGTGAGGTCAATTAGATGCTTCCACTCAGGACTTGGTGTGTTGAATTGGAGACTCAAAGCAGAAAGAGTTGAGAGATGTCCCAGCAACCACCACTCTAGTGTCAAGGTTCCCACGGTAATGCCCTACCCAGAATCTTACTGGAGTAGGAACTTCTCTTCTGCTAAGCCATTTTCCAAGTCTTGTTTTTCACTGCTGCTAGAATCTATGAGCTACTTATATATTTTTCCATAAATTCCCATACTGCATCAGTTTATAAGATTTGAAGAACCCTAGAGGACAAAAACAGACCCATGATAAATTCCTCTGGATATTAAAAAGAACTACAAAGATATGAGACAGAGAAAGCACATTCAAAAAACAAAGAGTCAGATAATTTCTTGAGATAAGGATTCAGGAGAGCACAATACCACAGAAATTAATAAAGAGTTCACTGAAGAAACCGATGTTCTAGGGCTGGCCATTTCCTTTTCTCTCCTCCCAGATTACATTGATAATATTTCTATTTTAAGAATTATCATACAATATTATAATTATTTCTCCCAGTAGACTGTTGGTGCCAACAGGGTAAGAACTATCACGTATTCCCTGAAAAATCCACAGGCCACTTCCAAGGGCTGTCTGCACACAGCGTGTGCTCCAGAATTATGTAAGGGAGGCAGGGAAGAAGAAAGGAAAGACTGAGCCTTGAAAAAGGAAAAACAGGTGGAATGGCAGTTCCCCTGGGTGTCCTGAGATACAAACTAAGCCAACCCTGTGGGGTTCCTCTCCCTCCGCATAAAACTTTGCCAAAGCAGTACCTGGGTTCCCACCATGACCTCTTCCTCCTTGGGAAATGTCTTTGCCCCTTTCAAAGATACTCGCCTCTCTCCTCCCCACCAGACACTTTAACATCATTTACACTAATTATGCAGTGGGATAGATTATAATTAGAACTATGAGATCCCTTTCAGACAGCAGAAAAAAGCCAGAAAGTGGAAGAAGAGCTCCTTCTTTCTAGTGAGAAGAGGCCAATAAAGCAGAAGAGTGAAGGCTCATAACTTCCATTCTTGGATTTCCAGAATGTGTTTATTGATGTTAATCTGTTCTTGTTCTTCCACTGGGTACTAGTTATATGGGCAGCAGAAAACTTGTCTTCTTAGCTCTTAGATCTGCAGACCAAGAAGAGCCAGGTCCTAATCTGATATAGTGACTATTGTATAGCACTCAGTGATCCTGGAATGGGTGCCAGATGCATTGATCAAATTGAACTTTTTGGTTGTCTATGGAAATTGAGAATAAGGAAGTGACATGGTTTGGCTGTGTCCCCACCCAAATCTCATCTCAAATTCCCACAGGTTGTAGGAGAGACCCAGTGGAAGGTAACTGAATCTTGGGAGCAGGTCTTTTCCATGCTGATCACGTGATAGTGAATAAGTCTCACGAGATCTGATGGTTTTAAAAAGGGGAGTTTCTCTGCACAAGCTCTCTCTCTCTTTGCCTGCTGCCATCCACATAAGATGTGACTTGCTTCTCTTTGCTTTCCCCCATGATTGTGAGGCCTCCTCAGCTGCATGGAACTGTAAATCCAATTAAACCTCTATCTTTGTAAATTGCCCAGTCTTGGGTAAATCTTTATCAGCAGCATGAAGACGGACTAATGTAGAAAATTGGTACCAGAGTGGAGTGTTGCTGAAAATATACCCAAAAATATGGAAGCGAATTTGGAACTGGGTAACAGGTAGAGGTTGGAACAATTTGAAGGGCTCAGAAGAAGACAGGAAAATGTGGGAAAGTTTGGAACTTCCTAGAGACTTGTTGAATGGCTTTGCCCAAAATGTTGATAGCAATAGGACAACAAAGTCCAGGCTGAGGTGGTCTCAGAAGGAGATGAGGAACTTGTTGGGAACTGGAGCAAAGGTAACTCTTGTTATGTTTTAGCAAAGAGACTGGTGGCATTTTGCCCCGGCCCTAGAGATTTGTAGAACTTTGAACTTGAGAGAGATGATTTAGGATGTCTGGTGGAAGAAATTTCTAAGCAGCAAAGCATTCAAGAGGTAACTTGGGTGCTGTTAAAAGCATTCAGTTTTATAAGGGAAGGAGAACATAAAAGTTTGGAAAATGTGCAGCCTGACAATACAATAGAAAAGAAAATCCAATTTTCTGAGGAGAAGTTAAAGCCAGCTGCAGAAATCTGCTTAAGTAACAAGGAGCCAAATGTTAATCCCCAAGACAATAGGGAAAACGTCTCCAGGGCATATCAGAGGTCTTCTGGGCAGCCCCTCCCATCACAGGCCTGGAGGCCTAGGAGGAAAAAATGGTTTCATGGGCTGGGCCCACGGTCCTTGTGCTGTGTGCAGCCTAGGGACTTGGTGCCCTACATTGCAGCTGCTCCAGCCATGGCTGAAAGGGGCCAAGGTAGAACTTGCCTGTGGCTTCAGAGGGTGCAAGCCCCAAGCCTTGGCAGTTTCCACATGGTGTTGAGCCTGCAAATACACAGAAGTCAAGAAATGGGGTTTGGGAACCTCCACCTAGATTTCAGAAGATGTATGGAAATGCCTGGATGCCCAGGCAGAAGTTTGCTGCAGGGGCGGGGCTCTCAAAGAGAACTTCTGCTAGGGCAGTACAGAAGGGAAATGTGGGGTCAGAGCGCCCAAACAGAGTCCCCACTGGGGCACCGCCTAGTGGAGCTGTGAGAAGAGGGCCACCATCCTCCAGACCCCAGAATGAATGGTAGATCCACTGACAGCGTGCACCATGGGCCCAGAAAAGCCACAGACACTCAACACCAGCCTGTGAAAGCAGCCAGGAGAGAGGCTGTACCCTGCCAAGCCACAGGGGCAGAGCTGCCAAAGACCATGAAAAGCCACCTCTTGCATCAGTGTGACCTGGATGTGAGACATGGAGTCAAAGGAGATCATTTTGGGTTTTGGACTTGCATGAGGCCTGTAGCCACTTTGTTCTGGCCAATTTCTCCCATTTGGAATGGCTGAAATTACTCAATGCCTGTACCCCCATTGTTTCTAGGGAGTAACTAACTTGCTTTTGATTTTACAGGCTCATAAGCAAAAGGATCTTACCTTGTCTCAGATAAGACTTTGGACTGTGGACTTTTGAGTTAATGCTTAAATAAGTTAAGACTTTAAGGGACTGTTGGGAAGGCATGATTGGTTTTGAAATGTGAGGACATGAGATTTGGGAGGGGCCAGGGACTAAATGATATGGTTTGGCTGTGTCTCCACCCAAATCTCATCTCAAATTCCCACCTGTTGTGGGAGGGACCCGGTGGGAGGTAATTGAATCATGGGGGCAGGCCTTTCCCATGCTGATCTCTTGATAGTGAATAAGTCTCATGAGATCTGATGGTTTTTAAAAGGGGAGTTTCCCTGCACAAGCTCTCTGCCTGCCACCATCCACGTAAGATGTAACTTGCTCCTCCTTGCCGTCCACCATGATTGTGAAACCTCCCCAGCCATGTGGAACTGTTAAGTCCATTAAACCTCTTTATTTTGTAAATTGCCCACTCTTGGGTATGTCTTTACTAGCAGTGCAAAAATGGACTAATATGGGGGGTAAATAGACATTCAGTGATCAAAAGAGCAGGCTGAGGCAAAGACAATACTGTTGTCCCAAATATTCCATTCCATTTTTCTCACACATTTCCTGGTTCCCTTCCAATTAATCATGACCATAGACTACTTCAGGCTAACAAAATATGAGCAGAAAGGAGGGGGTCAGTCTTCAATTTCCATTCTCCCAATGAGGAATATGAATAAAGATCATCTTTTGGACCCATGGATAGTAAGTTTTCAGGAAGAATGGAGAGATAGAAGAAGCTGAGGCAGTTGAAAGGCCTTCATTTCTCCTGCTGGCAGGGCTGAGGAGGAAGATGTGCTTTCCAGATGAAGGAGCTGTAAGATGGTCAGCTTGGGCCTTTGTGTACATGCAGCAGAATGCCCTGCTGACCAGTGATGGACATGTACTATGAGTGACAAATGAGTGGTGTTGTTTCAAGACTCTGGAATTTGAGGATTCATTTTTTTAAATTGCAGCATAACGTATCCTGTCCCAGTCACACTGCAGTCTTCTTTTCCCTCTTTGATAAGTTTCACACTGTACACATCTTTAATGGATGGCTCTTTTTGAACAAACAGTGTATTAGTTTGTTTTCACACTGCTGATAAAGACATACCCAAGTCTGGGTAATTTACAAAAGAAAGAGGTTTAATTGGTTACAGTTCCATGTGGTTCGGGAAGCCTCACAATCATGGTGGAAGGCAAGGAAGAGCAAGTCACATCTTACATGGATGGCAGCAGGCAAAGAGAGAATGAGCAAGACATGAAAGTGGAAACCCCTGATAAAATCATCAGCTCTCATGAGACTTATTCACTACCACGAGAACAGTATGGGAGAATCCACCCCCATGATTCAATCATCTTCCACCTGGTCCCTCCCACAGCATGTGGGAATTATGGGAATACAATTCAAGGTGAGATTTGGGTGGGGACACAGAGTCAAACTATATCAAACAATAATGAATATTACAGTCCCAATCTTGCCTAAAATGTTGCAAAACAACATTGCAGTCACTCTAAGCCACTTTGTACCATGTACTTTTGTCACTCCTTTCAAATGCACTAGAGAAAGCTTTAAACTAGATTTGGTGAGAAAATGGTGAAGAAAGTCCCTCAGATTTCAGGGCCAGATATCCAGGATTCTTATATATTCTCAAAGGATATGCTTTTTTTTTTTTTTTAATGAAATAGGGCACCCAGTTCTCCATCTTGTTTTATGGGAAGTTGAGCATTTGTTGGTTTATAATTGCACAAATTCCTTGATCTCAAATATGACTGTTTTCTCCTGTGCACAGAAAGAAGGACAGATCTCCCAGTCTTGGTCAACAAGTACCAAATATTCCACAGTGTTCTCAGTGTATCAAAGAAGGCCTTTGCCATTTGAGTAAAATTAGAATTATGCCATAGGCCATGTAGGGCCCCGTATTGGGAATAGAGGATGAAGGGAGTAATACTCACTGGTTCTGAACATCTAAGATGCTAGTTCTCTGATGTTCCCAAATCTAAAACTGTTTTGCAGATGCATTTGATGATTTGCCTTCCTCAGGGCAGTCTTATTTCCAACACCAAGCATTCAGAATCTTATAATAAACAGGAACAGTGTACTGAAGTTACAATAGAATCTAATTTTAATGAAGACTATGAATTAAGGTAATATTTTAGATCTGCAAATAGTGTGTTTTTAGGGAGAAACAAGAAATAAGTTATACATGAAAAGGGGGGTGCAAGTATAGAAGTGGAAGGGACATTGTCAGAAGGAGGCAAAGAGTGCAGGAGGGTATGCAAGGACAGTGGAGGCACGCACATATGTGGGGTACATGTAGGTGGGGGTTTGCACCACAGAAAAGCTATCAGCTATTCACTGTTTATCCCATGAGAAGCAGGTAGTGAGAGGTGACAGCGTGCTGGCAGCCCTTGCAGCCCTCACTCGCTCTCGGTGCCTCCTCGGCCTTGGCGCCCACTCTAGCCACACTTGAGGAGCTCTTCAGCCCGCCGCTGCACTGTGGGAGCCCCTTTCTGGGCTGGCCAAGGCTGGAGCTGGCTCCCTCAGCTTGCAGGGAGGTGTGGAGGGAGAGGCGTGGGCGGTGAGACCATCACCTATTGCTGAGCGGCAAGACAATCGCCTATTGCCAAGCAGTGAGTACCATTGGACCCCTTTCGCTTGCTATTCTGTCCTATTTTTCCTTAGAATTCCGGGGCTAAATACCGGGTACCTGTCGGCCAGTTAAAAGCGACTAGCGTGGCCGCCAGACTAAAGACATGGGTGTCAGGTTTTCTGGGATAGGGCTCTCTAACAACCCCCGACTCTTTGGAGTTGGGAGCGTTGGTGTGCCTCGAACCAGCTTCCACTTTTCTTGTACTTCTGGGCTGAGCCTAGGGTTGACAGAGAGGAAAGCCATGCAGCTCCGGGGTCCCGACAACAAGTTGGTTGACCCTGCGGCCATGAGTGGAACTCTCAAAGGCATGTTGCCCAAGCAAGACTCGCCCATCTCTCCTATCTATCCTGACCCTTGCCCCCTGGGTCCTAATGCCTGCCAGACAAACTTCCTCTTGCCTCTCTTCTCCAAGGTTAGTCCCGCTTCTAAAAATTGCTACCTGTCTCTGGTGCTTTTCTAGTTTCTTCTATAAAAATGATTTCTAGTATAAACTCCAGGACTTTGTTACCTTCTTTAGGCACCTGGGCTCACCAATCAGAAAGACATAATTTTTGCCCAAAGCCCCATTGTCCTGGGGACTACTTGGAATTTTAGGATCCCTCCTCAGACTAACAGGCCTAACAAAACCTATTCCTGAAGCTAGAATATGGGGAGCCTCAGAAATTGTATCCTTCCTATTCATATAAGTGAGGACAAAAGGTGTCGCTATTCCAACCCTGGAGATCCCTTCCCTCCCTAAGGGCATAGCCCTCCACTTCATTTTTGGGGCATAACATCTTTATAGGACAGGGGTAACGTCCCAATACTAACAGGAGAATGCTTAGGACTCTAGCAGGTTTTCGAGAATGTGTCGGTAAGGGCCACTAAATCCGATTTTTCTTGGTCAGTCCTCCTTGTGGTCTAGGAGGACAGGCAAGGATGCAGGTTTTTGAGAATGCATTGGTAAAGGCCACTAAATCCAACCTTCCTTGGTCCTCCATGTGGTCTGGGAGGAAAACTAGTGTTTCTGCTGCTGCGTCGGTGAGCACAACTATTCCGATCAGCAGGGTCCAGGGACTGTTGTGGGTTCTTGGGCAGGGGGAGAAACAAAACAAATCAAAACCATGGGCAGTTTTGTCTTTCAGATGGGAAACACTCAGGCATCAACAGGCTCACCCTTGAAATGCATCCTAAGCTATTGGGACCAATTTGACCCATAAACCCTGAAAAAGAGGTGGCTCATTTTTTTCTGCACTATGGCTTGGCCCCAATATTCTCTCTGATGGGGAAAAATGGCCACCTGAGGGAAGTACAAATTACAATACTATCCTGCAGCTTGACCTTCTCTGTAAGAGGGAAGGCAAATCGAGTGAAATACCTTACATCCAAGCTTTCTTTTCATTGAGGGAGAATACACAACTATGCAAAGCTTACAATTTACATCCCACAGGAGGACCTCTCAGCTTACCCCCATATCCCAGCCTCCCAATAGCTCCCCTTCCTACTAATGATAATCCTCCTCTAATCTCCCCTGCCCAGAAGGAAATAAGCAAAGAAATCTCCAAAGGACCACAAAGACCCCCAGGTTATCGGTTATGTCCCCTTCAAGCTGCAGGAGGAGGGGAATTTGGCCCAACCCGGGTACATGTCCCCTTCTCCCTCTCTGATTTAAAGCAGGTCAAGGCAGACATGGGGAAGTTTTCAGATGATCCTGATAGGTACATAGATGTCCTACAGGGTCTAGGGCAAACCTTAGACCTCGCTTGGAAAGATGTCATGCTACTGTTAGTTCAAACCCTGGCCTTTAATGAAAAGAACGCAGCTTTAGCTGCAGCCTGAGAGTTTGGAGATACCTGGTATCTTAGTCAGTAAATGATAGAATGACAGCTGAAAAAAGGGACAAATTCCCTACTGGTCAGCAAGCCATCCCCAGTATGGATCCCCACTGGGACCTTGACTCAGATCATGGGGAATGGAGTCATAAACATCTGTTGATCTGTGTTCTAGAAGGACTAAGGAGAATTAGAAAAAAGCCCATGAATTATTCAATGATGTCCACCATAACTCAGGGAAAGGAAGAAAATCCTTCCTTCCTCGAGCGGCTATGAGAGGCCTTAAGAAAATATACTCCCCTGTCACCCGAATCACTCGAGGGTCAATTGATTCTAAAAGATAAGTTTATTACCCAATCAGCTGCAGATATCAGGAGAAAGCTCCAAAAGCAAGCCCTGGGCCCTGAACAAAATCTTAGAGGCATTATTAAACCTGGCAACCTTGGTGTTCTATAATAGGGACCAAGAGGAACAGGCCCAAAAGGAAAAGCGAGATCAGAGGAAAGCCACAGCCTTAGTCATGGCCCTCAGACAAACAAACCCTGGTGGTTCAGAGAGGACAGAAAATGGGGCAGGTCAATCACCTGGTAGGGCTTGTTATCAGTGTGGTTTACTAGGACACTTTAAAAAAGATTGTCCAATGAGAAACAAGCTGCCCCCTCATCCATGTCCACAATGCCGAGGCAATCACTGGAAGGTGCACTGCCCCAGAGGATGAAGGTTCCCTGGGTCAGAAGCCCCCAACCAGATGATCCAACAACAGGACTGAGGGTGCCTGGGGCAAGCGCCAGCTCATGTCATCACCCTCACTGAGCCCTGGGTATGTTTATCTATTGAGGGCCAGGAAATTGACTTCCTCCTGGACACTGGCATGACCTTCTCAGTGTTAATCTCCTGTCCTGGATGACTATCCTCAAGGTCCGTTACCATCCGAGGAATTCTGAGACAGCCTGTAACCAGGTATTTCTCCCACCTCCTCAGTTGTAATTGGGAGACTTTGCTCTTTTCACATGCCTTTCTTGTTATGCCTGAAAGTCCCACACCCTTATTAGGGAGGGATATATTAGCCAAGGCCGGAGCTATTATCTACATGAATATGGGGAACAAGTTACCCATTTGTTGTCCCCTACTTGAGGAGGGAATCAACCCTGAGGTCTGGGCATTGGAATGACAATTTGGAAGGGAGAAAAATGCCCGCCCAGTCCAAATCAGGTTAAAAGATCCCACCACTTTTCCTTATCAAAGGCAATATCCCTTAAGGCCTGAAGCTCATAAAGGATTACAGAATATTGTTAAACATTTGAAAGCTCAAGGCTTAGTAAGGAAATGCAGCAGTCCCTGCAACACCCCAATTCTAGGAGTACAAAAACCGAATGGTCAGTGGGGACTAGTGCAAGATCTTAGACTCATCAATGAGGCAGTAATTCCTCTATATCCAGTTGTACCCAACCCCTATACCCTGCTCTCTCAAATACCAGAGGAAGCAGAATGGTTCATGGTTCTGGACCTCAAGGATGCCTTCTTCTGTATTCCCCTGCACTCTGACTCCCAGTTTCTCTTTGCCTTTGAGGATCCCACAGACCACACGTCCCAACTTATGTGGATGGTCTTGTGCCAAGGGTTTAGGGATAGCCCTCATATGTTTGGTCAGGCACTGGCCCAAGATCTAGGCCACTTCTGAAGTCCAGGCACTCTGGTCCTTCAATATGTGGATGATTTACTCTTGGCTACCAGTTCAGAAGCCTCGTCCCAGCAGGCTACTGTAGATCTCTTGAACTTTCTAGCTAATCAAGGGTACAAGGTGTCTAGGTCGAAGGCCCAGCTTTGCCTACAGCAGGTCAAATATCTAGGCCTAATCTTTTCCAGAGGGACCAGGGCCCTCAGCAAGGAATGAATACAGCCTATACTGGCTTATCCTCACCCTAAGACATTAAAACAGTTGCGGGGGTTCCTTGGAATTACTGCCTTTTGCCGACTATGGATCCCTGGATACAGTGAGATAGCCAGGCCCCTCTATACTTTAATCAAGGAAACCCAGAGGGCAAATACTCATCTAGTAGAATGGGAACCAGAGGCAGAAACAGCCTTCAAAACCTTAAAGCAGGCCCTAGTACAAGCTCCAGCTTTAAGCCCTCCCACAGGACAAAACTTCTCTTTCTACATCACAGAGATTGCTGGGATAGCCCTTGGAGTCCTTACACTGACTTGTGGGACAACCCCACAACCAGTGGCATACCTAAGTAAGGAAACTGATGTAGTAGCAAAAGGCTGGCCTCACTGTTTAAGGGTAGTTGCAGCAGTGGCCGTCTTAATGTCAGAGGCTATCAAAATAATACAAGGAAAGGATCTCACTGTCTGGACTACTCATGATGTAAATGGCATACTAGGTGCCAAAGGAAGTTTATGGCTATCAGATAACTGCCTACTTAGATACCAGGCGCTACTCCTTGAGGGACCGGTGCTTCAAATATGCATGTGCATGGCCCTCAACCCTGCCACTTTTCTCCCAGAGGATGGGAAACCAATCGAGCATGCCTGCCAACAAATTATAGTCCAGACTTATGCCACCCAAGATGATCTCTTAGAAGTCCCCTTAGCTAATCCTGACCTTAACCTATATATCAATGGAAGTTCATTTGTGGAGAATGGGATACGAAGGGCAGGTTACACCATAGTTAGTGATGTAACCATACTTGAAAGTAAGCCTCTTCCCCCAGGGACCAGTGCCCAGTTAGCAGAACTAGTGGCACCTACCCGAGCCTTAGAACTGGGAAAGGGAAAAAGAATAAATGTGTATACAGATAGCAAGTATGCTTATCTAATCCTACATGCCTATGCTGCAATATGGAAAGAGAGGGAGTTCCTAACCTCTGGGGCAACCACCATTAAATACCACAAGGAAATTATAGAGTTATTGCACCCAATGCAAAAACACAAGGAGGTGGCAGTCTTACACTGCCAAAGCCATCAAAATGGGGAAGGAGAGGGGAAAACAGCAGCAAAAGTGGCTGGCAGAAGTAGGGAAAGACCAGCAAGAAGTAAAGAAAAAAAGAGAAAGTCAGAGAAAGAAAAAAAGAGAGGAAGAAACAAAGAAGAACTTGAAGAGAGAAAGAAGTAGTAAAGAAAAAACAGTATACCCTATTCCTTTAAAAGCCAGGGTAAATTTCTGTCTACCTAGCCAAGGCATATTCTTCTTATGTGGAACATCAACCTATATCTGCCTCCCCACTAACTGGACAGGCACCTGAACCTTAGTCTTTCTAAGTCCCAACATTAACATTGCCCCAGGAAATCAGACCCTATTGGTACCTGTCAAAGCTAAAGTCCGTCAGTGCAGAGCCATACAACTAATATCCCTATTTATAGGGTTAGGAATGGCTACTGCTACAGGAACTGGAATAGCCGGTTTATCTACTTCATTATCCTACTACCATACACTCTCAAAGAATTTCTCAGACAGTTTGCAAGAAATAATGAAATCTATTCTTACTTTACAATCCCAATTAGACTCTTTGGCAGCAATGACTCTCCAAAACCGCCGAGGCCCACACCTCCTCACTGCTGAGAAAGGAGGACTCTGCACCTTCTTAGGGGAAGAGTGTTGTTTTTACACTAACCAGTCAGGGATAGTACGAGATGCCACCTGGCATTTACAGGAAAGGGCTTCTGATATCAGACAATGCCTTTCAAACTCTTATACCAACCTCTGGAGTTGGGCAACATGGCTTCTCCCATTTCTAGGTCCCATGGCAGCCATCTTGCTGTTACTCGCCTTTGGGCCCTGTATTTTTAACCTTCTTGTCAAATTTGTTTCCTCTAGGATCGAAGCCATCAAGCTACAGATGGTCTTACAAATGGAACCCCAAATGAGTTCAACTAACAACTTCTACCAAGGACCCCTGGACCGATCCACTGGCACTTCCACTGGCCTAGAGAGTTCCCCTCTGGAGGACACTACAACTGCAGGGCCCCTTCTTTGCCCCTATCCAGCAGGAAGTAGCTAGAGCGGTCATCGGCCAAATTCCCAACAGCAGTTGGGGTGTCCTGTTTAGAGGGGGGATTGAGAGGTGACAGCCTGCTGGCAGCCCTCACAGCCCTCGCTCGCTCTCAGTGCCTCCTCAGCCTTGGTGCCCACTCTGGCCGTGCTTGAGGAGCCCTTCAGCCTGCCACTGCACTGTGGGAGCCTCTTTCTGGGCTGGACAAGGCCGGAGCCAGCTCCCTCAGCTTGCAGGGAGGTATGGAGGGAGAGATGCAGGCGGGAACCAGGGCTGCGCATGGCGCTTGCGGGCCAGCATGAGTTCCAGGTGGGCGTGGGCTCGGCGGGCCCCACACTCGGGCAGTGAGGGGCTTAGCACCTGGGCCAGCAGATGCTGTGCTCAACTTCTCGCTGGGCCTTAGCTGCCTCCCCGTGGGGCAGGGCTCGGGACCTGCAGCCTGCCATGCCTGAGCCCCCCACCCCGCCGTGGGCTCCTGCACAGCCCAAGCCTCCCCGACAAGCACCACCCCCTACTCCACGGTGCCCAGTCCCATCAACCACCCAAGGGCTGAGGAGTGCGGGCACACAGCGCGGGACTGGCAGGCAGCTCCACCTGCGGCCCTGGTGCGGGATCCACTGCGTGAAGCCAGCTGGGCTCCTGAGTCTGGTGGGGACTTGGAGAATCTTTATGTCTAGCTAAGGGATTGTAAATACACCAATCAGCACTCTGTATCTAGCTCAAGGTTTGTAAATGCACCAATCAGCACTCTGTGTCTAGCTCAGGGTTTGTGAATGCACCAATCAGCACTCTGTATCTAGTTAGTCTGGTGGGGACTTGGAGAATCTTTATGCCTAGCTAAGGGATTTTGAATGCACCAATCGGCACTCTGTATCTAGCTCAAGGTTTGTAAATGCACCAATCAGCACTCTGTGTCTAGCGCAGGGTTTGTAAATACACCAATTGACACTCTGTATCTAGCTAATCTAGTGGGGATGTGGAGAACTTTTGTGTCTAGCTCAGGGATTGTAAGCGCACCAATCAGCACCTTGTCAAAACGGACTAATCAGCTCTCTGTAAAACAGACCAATTGGCTCTCTGCAAAATGGACCAATCAGCAGGATGTGGGTGGGGCCAGATAAGAGAATAAAAGCAGGCTGGCAGAGCCAGCAGTGGCAACCTGCTCGAGTCCCCTTCCACACTGCAGAAGCTTTGTTCTTTCGCTCTTTGCAATAAATCTTGCTACTGCTCACTCTTTGGGTCCACACTGCCTTTATGAGCTGTAACACTCACCGCGAAGGTCTACAGCTTCACTCCTGAAGCCATCGAGACCACGAACCCACCAGAAGGAAGAAACTCCGAACACATCCGAACCTTAGAAGGAACAAACTCCGGACACGCCGCCTTTAAGAACTGTAACACTCACTGCGAGGGTCCGCGGCTTCAATTTTGAAGTCAGTGAGACCAAGAACCCACCGATTCCGGACACAGTAGGACACTGTGGGAGTTGCTTACATACATCATCTCATTTAATCTTCCCATTAGCTGATAAGACTGATATTTTGTTTTATATGAAAAAAACAGATTAAGATGAATATGTTCAGAAATGCAATGCAAAACTAAGTCTTCCTTACTGCAAAGCCCAAATTCTTTTCTTCAGCATTTGATAAATTATATTTTTTAGAGTCTTATATATATCAAATATCATTAATTTTCGCCCACCAATATACAGTTCATGTTGTGCCCTTCTCCAAGCTAAATCAGGTATGCCCCCTGCCCAAATTCAACGTGGGATAAATTACATGATCACATCTATAAAAGGACAATTTTACACTTATAGCTACATGTGCATAGAAGAAGTCAAAACTGAGTGTTGGGTTCATCAAAACTGTTTCCAATCAGATGAAGTCACTGAACAGCCATGAACTTTCAGCAAGCCAACATCTCAAGCTGATAAAGGACTCAGAATTGTGAGTAATCTGGTATGTCAGAACCTCAGTGTACCAAAGTACAGATTACTTTCTAAAATGGGACATGATTAAGCCAAACATGTATGGACAAGAACTCATTTTTTTCCATTCAGAGAGGGAGTTTTCAATCACTACTTAGTATAACCACCTTGAAGCCCTTTTCTAGTGAATAAAGCCTTTTGTTCCTCACCCTGACCCCCTCCCATTAAGTATTCAGTGAATTTTGTTGACAGTGTATACTCCTTTGTCTGGCAGGCAAGTAAACAAACTCAGAAGAGAGAGAGAGAGTAAGAGTAAGAGTGTGTGAGTGTGTGAGTGTGTGTGTGTGTGTGTGTGTGTGTTTAACATTCTGGTGGACTTTGTTTTATTCAGAGACATATCTGATTACTCTTCTCCATCTTGAATAAGGAGGTGGGCTTCTAAAATGTTTGCTCTTTCCTAAATTGTTAGCCTTCAAGAACAGTTAAGAATCTTGAATCCTTAATATACATTATCCTGAGACACATGCCCCAGGCAGTTCAGGGCATACCTGAGACATAGCTGTCTAAGATACTGGCTTTGGTCAGGCCAGAAGTAGCTGATTCCAGCTCTTTCAGTTGAAGCTGATGCTTTGGAAGTGATTATATTCCCTTTATGGAACTTCCAAGGAACAACTCTTCCTGCACTTACCTCTCCCAGACATAAGTCACAGAACTCCACCATCTGTGAGAGAAAAATCCCAGCTATTGGCTATGAATTGTTTTAATGCTGAGATAAAGGCTTAGAAGGGAACCAGCACCTGCCCAGCATCCTCTGTGATTAACATAACACAGAACACCTGCTAGACCATGGTGGCTATTCCAGTCCAAGTTTTATTTTATTTTTTTAATCATTCCCACATGCCTCCAAATAAGCAAGCCAATACTATTTTCAGAAAGCAAGATTATGCACTATGACAGGGCATTCATTCAGAAGTAGACATTTGCCAAGAACCTAAGTCAGGCACTAAGCTAGGCTGAGAGATGAAAATGTGAATAAGATGTCGAGGTTACTGCCCTTGAGGAGATGAAGACATCTCCATCAGGTGTGTAAGTCAAATAAAGACACTCTATAATAGTGTTATAAGAACATAATAAAATCATATCCTGTAGCAACTAACACTCAGGTCTGGTAAAATTTAACAGAAGAACTGGTAATTGAGTTGGGTCTTGAGGAACAAGCGGGATTTGGAAAGATGGAAGATACAGGGGAATAAAGTCATCCTAGACAAAGACAAGAGCATGTGCAATGCACTAAGACATGAAAAAGTATGGATATGGTCAAGAGGTGGCATGCCGTCTTGAGTTACTAGAAGTGGGTGAGGTGTGGGTAGGAGATTGTCATGAAGTCTGCTTGTAATGTACTAAGTATGCTAAACTAATGAGTTCGAACTTTATCCTGTACACAGTGGAGAACTAGTCAATATGTACAGTTTGTGGGCACTTCATCTTCCAGCCAAAATGGGCAAACAGAAACCAGATTTACCCTACCATCCCAAACAATTAGAACACTTTACAAAATATGTAAAACAATGGTTTTCAGATATTGCACAACAGCCAGTACGAGACAATCATTCTTGAGAAAAAGGAAACAAGATGAGCCCACAATTACTGTGGCTTATTGTCTAGAGGAAAGTTCCAGATTTCAGGCCAGAGGGTGGTCTAGCTGAGTTGAGGATACAGAATTGAGAATTTGGGAAGACGAAGGTGGGTACTGGGAAGGAGAGCACCACCCAGAGAGGAGCTGAAGGAGAGAAGGATGGAGAAAGAGAACCCTCAGCTGGGTACTAATTACTACATGTGTGTGAGGAAACTACCCTAGCGAGGAAAGAACCAATGAAAAAGAAAAGGTAAAATAACCAGTGAAGTTCACACAGGGCCAGGAATAGTTTGGATTTCTACCAGCCAGAGTGGAAGGACATTGTAATTCATGGGGCATTGGGTGGAGTATTTAGAAGATATTGCTTTGGCAGGGAAAATTAGCCTTAGTTGGAATCCCTCTCTATCTTAAAAAACTTAAAAGTAAGTCTTGAAAAGGTGATAGTACTTCCAAGTAACAGGATACAGAACAAGCACACAAGCACACACACACACTTACATATACACACACCCTCTCACACAGTAAATCCGGTAAGGTAAAATTCACAATGTTACAATGTCTAGCATCTAATAAAACACTTCCAGCTACGCAAAGCAGCAGAAAAAAATGAGCCATAATCTAGACAAAAGTATTGATAGAAATAGATATAAAAATAGTAGACAAGGGCGTTAAAGCAGTTACATAATTTTATTTCATCTATTCAGGAAGATAAAGGAGAATATTTGCATGTTTAGACATTGAAGATATAAAACACCCAAATCAAATGTCTAGGGATGAAAAAAATTAATGTCTGAGATGACAAACTGGATATAATAACTACAGACACTGAAGAAGAAAAAAATACAAAACTTGAAGATATAGCAATAGAAACTCTCCAAAATGAAACACAGAGACAAAAAAACAGTTGCCTTAGGGAACCATAAGGCAACTTCAAAAGGCTAATATCTGTAAAATTGGTGGCCCCAAAGAAAGGGAGAGAGAGAAGGATGGAAAAAAATATTTGAAGAAATAATCAATGAAAAAAATCTCCTAATTTGATGGAAACTATAAACTCACAAATTCAAGAAGCTAAATGAATCCCAAACACAAGACACATACAGAAAACTACACTAAGGCACATCATAAACTATTTAAAATTAGTGATAAAGAGAAAATATTAAAATCAGCTAAAGACAAAAAGTCACCTGTGCAGAGAAACAAAGATAAGAATTGTGATAGCAGCTTTTTCTTTAGTGACATTATATAAGGTAGAAGAAAATGGACCAACATCTTCATAGTAGTATTCAAGAAACAACAAAACATATCAGCATAGAATTCTATACCCAGCTTTCAGAAATGAAGACAAAATAAACACCATTCACAAATATAAAAGCTGAAAGAAATTGTCACCAGATTTTTACTACAGGAAATCTTGAAGACATTGCTTTAACATGGAAAATGATATCCTTTGGATATATCCGAAGGATAGAGCACTGGAAATGATAAATATGTAAGTAAATACAGAATACTCTTTTTCCTTATTTTGAAAATATTTTTAAAGATAACTGACCATTGAAATAAAAAATAACAATGTGTTGTGGGGTTTATAACACATAGAAGAAAACTGTATAATGATAGCACAAAGGCTGAGAGGGGAGACACAGAAGTCTAATGTTGTCTGTAATCCCAGCACTTTGGGAGGCCAAGGCGGGCAGATCACCTAAGGTCAGGAGTTCAAGACCAGCCTGGCCAACATAGTGAAATATTGTCTCTACTGAAAATACAAAAATTAGCCAGGTGTGGTGGTACACACCTGTAATCCCAGCTACTCGGGAGGCTGAGCTGGGAGAATCACTTGAACCCAGGAGGCGGAGGTTGCAGTGAGCTGAGATGGCGCAACTGCACTTCAGCCTGGGCGACAGAGCGAGACTCTGCCTCAAAAAAAAAAAAAAAAAAAAAGAAGAAGTCTAATGTTGTAAGGTTCTTATATTTCAATGAAGTGATTTAATGTCACTTTAAGGCACATTCTGATAAATTAAACATATATCTTTTAAGTCCCAATGCAATCACTAAAAAAAAAATCAATGAATTTTATAAATCAATAATATACTCAATAAGCCAACAAATGAGATAAAATTAAGTCATAAAAATATTCAATGACTCAAAAATAAGGAGAAAACAGGAAATAAGAACAGGTGTGACAAATAGAAAAAGAGCACTAAGATCATAAATTTAAACTCAACTATATCAATAATTTTTTTTTTTTTTGAGACAGAATCTTGCTCTGTCGCCAGGCTGGAGTGCAGTGGAGCGATCTCAGCTTACTGCAACCTCCACTTCCTGGGTTCAAGCAATTCTTCTGACTCTGCCTCCTGAGTAGCTGGAACTACAGACTCACACCACCACGCCCAGCTAATTTTTGTATTTTTAGTAGAGACGGGGTTTCACCATGTTGGCCAGGATGGTCTTGATCTCTTGACCTTGTGATCCACCCACTTCGGCCTCCCAAAGTACTGGAATTACAGGCTCAACAACTTTTATATGTGGTCTAAATGCCCTAATCAAAAGGCAGAGATTGTCAGACTGAATTTTAAAAAGCAAGATTCAACTATATGTTGCCTACAAAGCCATTTTTTGTTGTCTGTGCCCATCTTTGAAGACTGTAACAGCCTTAATGGGCTGTAGCTCTGACTATTGCTTTTCTTCTCAGCCTCTGAAAAGCAATGGCCTCTGGTGACTATGGACTTTACCAAAGTGTAATGCAAGTCTCATTATATTCTCTAGAATGGACATTAAAATGCCACATTTTATCCCTAGTTTCTGGATTCTTCAGTTCTCAAAATGGCCAATCCATATTTTCAGGAAGCATTGTAACTTAATCTGCTTACCAAATACCTGTAATGTATCAAATTGTGAATTTCCCAAAACTGCCATTTGTGCCATAAATCTGATAATTTTCTCTTTTTTCCAACTAAAAGGTCCACATTATTAGTTCATTTATTCATTCAACAAACAGTTAACACTTAGAGCCCAGCCACTGTGCTAGATATGTCCTATACACAGGTATACATTGTTGAAACAAACTGGGATAGTTTCTGTACCCATGAAACTTAAAATATAGTAAAAGAGATAGATTGTAAACAAATAAACATATAATTATATGTTGTGTTAGGAGTTGTAATGGAAACAGAAAGTATCAGGAGGCAGATGTTAAGCAGATAATGTGGCTGAAGGACTTGACATTGAGGGATACCATTTAAACTCAATCCTGACTATGAACTAATCACAAGAACAAAGAGAATAGTTTGGCCAAGCACAGGAACAGCATATGTGAACACCTTGAAATGGGAAAATTTGATCTATTTCAAGTGCTTGAAGGATCAGAAGAGTCACCTGAGATGAAGCTGGGGTGGTAAACCGGAGCCGGATCACACAGGACCACAGCAAGAAGTTTTAATTTTCCTGTAAGTACACTGGAAAATCACTGAAGCATACAAATAGGAGAAAAACATATATGGCTTAATTTACCTTTTTTTTTTTTTCTTTTTTTTTTGAAACAGAATCTTGCTCTGTAGCCAGAGTGCAGTGGCGCCATCTCGGCTCACTGCAAGCTCAGCCTCCCAGGTTCAAGTGATTCTCCTGCCTCAGCCTCCTGAGTAGCTGAGACAACAGGCGTGCACCACCATGCCCAGCTAATTTTTTTGTATTTTTAGTGGAGACAGGGTTTCACCATGTTGGCCAGGATGGTCTCCGTCTCTTGACCGCATGATCCTCCTGCCTTGGCCTCCCAAATTGCTGAGATTACCGGCGTGAGCCACCGCACCCGGCCTTAATTTACATTTTAAGACTTTCACATGCAAATCTCTGGAAAATGGGTGACAGTGGGCTGGGAGTAAAAAGAGGGCAACAGGAATAATCTGGCAGTTTCTATAGATGCTGTGTGTGAGAGAGAAATCAAGGGTGATTCCAGCTGGGTGGAGGATACAAAGATCGGGAGGACAGGAGGAGTGACAAGTTTGCGGGTGGGAATCAGGAATTCAGTTTGAAAATCAGGTTAAGTTTGAGAGATGTGTTTCCCTTGCTCAGGAGCCCACATCAACCGAGAAGCTGAAGAACTGGACCTTGGAGCAGGATCTCTAAGAGCTCAGATCATAAACTAGGTCTCCTGACTCAAGAATGCATATCCAGTGATATCTAGTACATCTCTAGTTCCAAATATGGCTTTTCCCTCTCTGTTGCTCTGCTCTCCTTTTCCTTAGGACTGCTCTGAATGAGAGCCTGACTGAGCTCCAGGTTGCCCACTCACAACCTGCACTGCCTTGCACCACCTTAATAACATGTGCAGCATACAGCAATGCAGCTTGTAAAACAGAAACGATCAGAATCCCTTTGCAAAACAAAGGCTGGATCTCATAGCCTATCCAGTTTGATTGCTTCCTTCCAAGCAACGGAATGACAGGTTTTGCAGGCCTAATTATTTGTCAGGTAATCAATCTAGTCTGCTATCATTGTTTAATCTCTACGCCTCACTAAACGCAAGCCTAATATTTCACCATTCTCTCCTCCGTGCAAAGGAAGCTGCTCCCAGCTTCTAACCCACACTACTGATCTTGCCCTCAATTGACATCAAGCAAAGGAGATATTTAAAGACAAGCTCGAGTATCTTCAATTTTACAGATCTAGAATTGTCACCATAAAGTTAGTGAGCTTAAAGTGTGTTGCCCCAAAAGGATAGAGGAACCTGCTGGCCATGACATGGCTCTCCTTTTGACACTAACATCACCAGACCTGGAGGGTACCTGGGACACCAGAGACAAGGATGGCTTCAAAGCCCAGGAGGGTGAGCTCATGTCCTGGAAGCAACAGCAAAATTGTGAGCACCACACTCTGAACAGAAGACAGAGTTGTCTTCCCATACACTGAGGACTCTTGGTAGAGCATCCCCTCTTGGGAGCCAGTGACCCTAGACTCAAACATTGGAAAAATCTATCAAGCCACCAGCAGAACTGGTACAGACCCAAGATACCAAAGGAGGAAAAAATACCTTGTTCAGGGACATTTCTTGCCTCTCACTAAAGCTGCCCTGCTGGCTGTCAGGTTTACGACCTTAGAATCCCGGACCCCTTCTTGAAGTTACGCTTAGCTATCCACTTGCCAGCCAGGCAGCCTGTCTATTCCTGTGAAATAAACAGCCTCATGGCTTCTCATGGGTTTGGGACTATTAAAAAAATCTAGAGGGAGATGAATAACCAAGTGGAAGAGGTTTTTATTTTTTAAAAGCCATTAAGGGAAAAATATGCAAGCTGTATTTCAAATTTGCCTTTTTAATTTTTTAAAACGTATAATATTTAAGTTCAAAAGATTGCTCCAACAGTTGAAAAATAGTTAAATAACAGTACTGCCACTCAATAAATTCTGAAGACTTTGAAACAATACAGAACTGTGCTTTTCATAGTACATTTTAAGGGAGACATGCCTGAAATTATATATGGAGTGTAATTACAATCATGAAAATCATATACAAAACAGCAATAATGGAAAAAATGCTGTGAGGAAATGTGCCAAATTGTTAATAACCGATACTGTTGTTTGATGAGAAATAGCATCTTCTTCATTTTTCAGTTGTTCGGTATTTACCCTTTTTTCTAATAAATTTGCATTCCTATTATGAGACATGTTATTGTTTTACTTTTAGAACAAATTAGATATAAATTCTCCTGCTTGCTCACCCACACCCCTGTTAAAGGTGTAGATATCATTTAAATCTATATTTTAAAGTTACTATTAAGCAAAAGTTAATAATGCTACTATACCAAAACATTATTTCTGTGAATTATATTTAACCAAGTCCAGGAGAACCAAACTTGTGGTCAGAACACTAGGATCAACTTTTTTCCTGCTTTTTGAGATAATTGTAGATTCACATGCAGTTGTAAGAAATAATACAGGGATTCCATATACACTTTCCCCGTTTTACATCTTCTGTCACGCCAGTACAATACCACACCAGGAAATTGACTTTGATACAGTCTGTGACCTTACTCAGATTTCACCAGTTTTCATGCACTGGTGTGTATTTAGTTCTGTGCAGTTTTATCTTGTGTGTAGACTTGTGGAACCACCACTATAGCCAAGATTCAGAACGGTTCCATCACTGCTACTACGCTTTTGAACTCACAGCCACTTCCCTCCCCTGCTCCCTAACTCCTGGCAATGGTCAACTTTTTGTCACTGAACAATGATCCATCCCCCATGCGGGATTCACTATGCCAGTACAGTGATGGATACAATCAAATAAACAGTGTAGCCTAGTGTTTAGGAGTGCAGGCAGGAACCAGACTAACTGGGTTCAAATCTGAGGTGGCCACTGTCACCTTCGGAGAAGTATTAAACTCTTTATGCTACATTTTCTTCAATAAGATGGGGATAATCATATGATAGAACTTCATAGGTTGTTAGAATTCAATGAGTTGATACTTAGAAAGCAAGAAGAAAGCACCGGGCCTGAATAGATGCATGTTACCATCTAAGAACTCCCAATCCAGTGGAGAATACACAAAACGCTAATCAGTTCAGCCTGTATGCAGTGATGTAATATACATGTAAACACAGTACAAGGGGAGGACCTAGGAGGGGGCAGTTAATTCTGGCTGTGGAAGGCTGAGCCAGGCTTCCCCAGAAAGGGAATATTTGGGTTGGGTTTTGGAGGATGAGTAAGACTTTGCCAGGAAAAAAAAAAAAAAAAAGTTTCATGCTGATATACAGCTTGATCAGTGACCCTGAGAAGGCATGGCGATTTCTAAAGGGTAAAAGCTTGGAACAAAAACCTGGAAGAGTGGGGGAGACTTTGGGGCAGGGCAGGGGAGTGGTGGTGGCCAAAGAGGAAGCCTGAGTGAAGGTTGGGGCCGGGTTTTGAGGGGTCCTTGAATGCCATGCTATAATTAGCACAGCGATTGCAATCCTGGAGAAGACTAGAATAGAATAGAAAGAAGAAAGTGCATCCCAGACTCAGGCACATCAGGAGAATTAGAATGGATGTGAAAGTACATTCTAAATTACAAAACACCAGCAGTGGCGATTAATTGTAAACAATGGCAGCAGCAGCAGAATGTTTAAAACACAGTCACCATTCTTGTTAAACGCAGATTATCCTGAGTGTCTGGGGCAAGGGCATTAGAAGTTACAACGCTAATTCACGCCAGAACTTGTCCTGGCCCTGCCCGGCAGTTTCCACTCTAGCCAGGTGTTCCTAATTCCCTTCACAGGCAACCTGAAACCATCCTTTTCTGGGCTTTCAAAGGAAGCCCCTGGGCAGATACTTTGGCAGTTGCCAGTGTCTCTCCCAGTCTCTGGGACCATTCACTTTTTCCCTGTCATCGGTCCCCAGTATTTATCCAATCATCTGGCCATTTGCCCGGGCTCTGGCAGTGCCGGTCCCTGAGCACGTGCCTGGCTCAGGCTTCCCTTCGCTCTCTCTGCTTTGGACAGGTCATCTCTTCCTGGTGGTTTTCCGGGGGCCCTGACCTCCCATACCTTGCTGTGACTACGATCTCCCTGGCTGTGACTACAATCTCCCTGCAGATTTCTGCCTGTCTTTCACAACTTATTCTTGCCTTTCTGGTCCTAGGTGTTCCAATGACCTGATGCTGCCTACACTGGGGTGTGGCCCATAGAACAAGAACACATTACCTTGTGGTTTTGCTTCAAAAAATGTTCTCAATCAGCCGCCTTCTTCTGGTTATTTTTCTCATTATAGAGAGAGAGGGAGAAGGATCAAGAACACTTATTTCACTTACTCTTCATAGACTGAAAAAAATTAACTACTTTTTTTTTTAGTATCAGACACCTTTCTTTTTGTTCTGGCATTCTCATATCTGTGAGGGGAAAAAAAGATTTTGGAAGAAATGACTCTTTCTAAGTGCATGGTGGTAATGGTGTAAAGTCTAGCTCTGAAAACTAAGAAACCAAAAAAAAAAAATTAAAAATTAAAAAAAAATACCTCCCTGTCCTCTAAACAAAGTTGAGTTAGGCTATGAACTAGTCAGCTGATCACAAAGATGAAATGCAACCAAACAGGACTTAGGAAGAAACAGCCCCAAGTTCCCCTAAAACAATACCTTGTTGTCCTCTATATAATTGAGCCGTCTCTTTGCTCTAGCCCGTATTTTAACTTCCATAGCAAACCTCCTTCACTTGAAGTTGATCCATGGAAGATATGACTTAACAAGATATATCAAAAACACAACACCTTCCCAACAAAACTCACCAGACATTTTCCCATGCAATGTACATCTTAGATAAAATTCACTTGCAGCCAATAAAATTCTTCATGTAAATAAACAAAACATCCAACTATATTATTTGTGGGGGAAAAAAACCTCATTTCTATGTTTGGAAAAATGCCAATTTTTTTTTTTTCTTTTTTGAGACGGAGTCTCACTCTGTCACCCAGGTTGGAGTGCAGTGGCATGATCTTGGCTTATTCCAACCTCCACCTCCTGGATTCCAGCAATTCTCCTGCCTCAGCCTCCCAAGTAGCTGGGATTACAGGCGTGTGCCACCACACCCAGCTAAATTTTGTATTTTTAGTAGAGACAGGGTTTCACCATGTTGGCCAGGCTGGTCTCAAACTCCTGACCTCAGGTGATCTGCCCACCTTGGCCTCCCAACGTGCTGGGATTACAGGCATGAGCCACTGTGCCCCGCTGGAAAAATGCCAATATTTTAAATTCTCTAAGTCCCTATGCAAATCTATTGTAGACTCAGACCCTGTATCTTTCAGTTTGTGGAAGGGTGCCATACAGCCTATGGGCAATTTGGATCTTTGCTTTCTGACCTTCACCCTGGCAGAGGGGAGCCAGCTAGAGAGAGGAAATACAACATAAACAATGGCAGAGAAGGATGACTTATTTTCAGTTTAATGTGACAGGATAATCTGTTAAGAAATTAATTGCACCCGCTTCTCACTGCAGCAGACACCTCAGTAAAGGGCAAAAGGTCATTTCCTTTCCCCACACAGGCCCCTACCATCCCTTGCCCCTACTCCTATCCCCAGGATAGTTTTTAACTGACTTAGTTTTTGCAAAGTCTAAAAGTGTCTCAAACTCTGAAACGCACAAAAATTACCTGAGGGGATTCAAATGGATGTTTCTGGGTACCTCCTTGGACCAACCAATTAAGATTTCTGGGGATTGGAACCCCCATTTTAAACAAATTCCCTAAGAAATTCTGATCCAGGGGGTTTTAAGAACATTCTTTGAGAAACATTAGGCCAAAAAAGACATACACACACCACCACTGAAATACCCAGGTGGGCAACACAGGGGAGCTGAGGATCCAGGGGAAAGACCCAGATGTCAGAGCTTGCCGTTCATCCTGGCAGTCAGGGGTCACTGTCAGGTTTTAAGCGGGACTGTGATGTGGTAAACTCCACAGCTCATAGCCCACGTGTCACCTTCTCCAAGAAGCTTCCATCCTAGTCCAGAAGGGGTTCCTGCTCCTCCGTACTCCATAGTAGCCTTTCATACTTCTAACTCACCACTGACCACACTACCCTGACATGATCATTTGATGATCTTCCCTCCACCAGTAAGCTTCTGTGAGCAAGGACGTGCCTGGGTTCCATTTACCATGTCGCCACCAAATGGTCCTGATTTTTCACCATCAAATGATCCTGGAAGCAATGTCAGTGCCCCACAACTGCTTGCTCACTTGTCCTGGAATGCTTCATTTCTAGCACAGAAACTGGGCCCCATCTATCTGAACGCCTCATAAAACAGAAGCTATCCGCCTTATGGAAGGCATCAGAATGAAACAGCAGATGCCTGAAGTCTTGATCATATTCGAAGTTAGTTTACATTTTTGTGTTTCAGAAAGAACTAAAGGTCTCACAATCCTCCAAAGTCCACATGTGTAGGCCAAGCCCCTCAAGGCAATTAAAGGAATAGGAAAATGTACCCACAGCTGATTTCAGCATGAAAGCACGTGGTGTCCAGAGTCTTTTAAATCCTTAAAGCAAAACACCTGGATTCTGTTCCAGGCCGCCCCGCTCCCCACCCAGCTCCAAGCACCTGTTTCTATCTGACCAGCCCTCCGACTTTCTACCCCTCCCCGCTCAGAAGAGGCAAGAATTTTTAAATTCTGATTTTGTTTGTATAAAGATAGTAAGAAACATTCCGTGAACCAGGAATCATAAGGCTGCACCCCTGTGAGATCTCCCCCAAGAAAGTCCCTTCCATTCTCAGAGAATAAAATCGAAACACCAAATGGATGGAAACACAGTAACCACACCGTCCCTGGCAGGGCCGCCCCTGGCTGTACCTGAATTTCCTGTGTGTGGACTGTACCGGATCTACGGAGTCTGTGGCTCTTTCAGCTCCTTCTTCATCATCCGGTGCAGCCTTTGTGCTCTGGAGACCCTCAAATCAGTACGGGGGGCGAGCGCTGTGGCTCACGCCTGTAATTCCAGCAGTTTGGGAAGCCCAGGCGGGCAGATAACTTGAAGTCAGGAGTTCTAGCCCAGCCTAGCCAACGTGGTGAAACCCCGTCTCTACTAAAAATACAAAAAATTAGCCGGGCGTGGTGGCGGGCGCCTGTAGTCCCAGCTACTCGCGAGGCTGAGGCAGGAGAATCGCTTGAACCCGGGAGGCAGAGGTTGCAGTGAGCCGAGATCCCCCACTGCACTCCAGCCTGGGCGACAGAGCAAGACTCCGTCTCAAAAACAAAAACAAACAAAATCAGGAAGGGGACTTTGAAGCTCCTTAATACTGAGGCTTGGAGGGGCCCTAGCATGGGAGTTGGGCAACCCAGCGCTTCCCCTTTGAGGAGTGGCTCTAGAAATCGCCTTCCACAGTCCACAGGGAAGGGCTTTAGCCACGATCCAGGACTGAGTCCTCCATAGGGTGTGGGTGAGCCCCACGGCTGGGCCCAGCCCCCCGAAGACCACCGGGTAGCCTCGCTCCCGCCTCCCACCCCAGCCTCGCCCTCCAGCCCCGCCACGGGAGGGGCCGCCTGAAGGAGACCCGCACCTGGGCCTGGGCTCCTGGCTGGGGGGAGCGGAGCAGGCGGCGCCCAGGCCCGGGTCCTCCCCGCCCTCGCAGCTGCCCCAGCCGAGCCTCCCGGGCCGGCCTCGCCCTGGGGGTGGGGGTGGGGGTGAGGGGGCGCAGCCTCGGGCTACGGCTCCCCCGGCCCGGCCCGGCCCGTGCGGGCTGCACACCTGCCCGCCCGGCGAGGCTTCATTAGGCCGCGCCTGTGCATCACGGGCCGGCCGCGGCGGCGGGAGTCCAGGCCATGGAACCCACAGAGAATCCCTGCCAGGGACCGCTGGGTGAGTGTGGAGACCCCGTCGTGCGAGGGGGTCAGGCTTTGGGGGTTCGGGGAGGGGGGGAGGCCTGTGATCACCAGGTCAGCGTTAGCCGACCTAAGAGCTTCAGTAGGCCGAGGGCCGGGTGGAGTCGGGTGGGGTAGGGTGGGAGGAGGCCGACCTCACTGCCCCCTGTGCTTTGGGATTGCAACCCCCCTCCCCGCTCCCCCGCGCCCCCTGCCCGCCTCCAGTCTCCCAGCGCGCAGGGGAGAGAACCCTGGGAGCCCCAGGACCCTTCTAGTCTTAGGTCTGACACCCGTCCCCTTCTTACTAGCGCACATCACTCCCATAGGACACGTGCTTACGGAGCACCCACAGTGCTGGGTACCAGGCTTTTTGCTACAGTACAAGCTCTCCTAAAATGCTGTAAAACAAATTTGTCCCTGCTTCCCCACACCACCAGCCAGCTTTGTCCCTTCACTCCATAGAGGCCTGCTCACCCTCTTCACCAGCCCAGACCCTCTCATGCAAGTCGGGTCCAGCCTGTGTCCTAGGAAAGGACTTGGAACAGCACCCTTGACCATGACCTTTTTCCTTGACACTCTGTTACAAAGTCATTCCTAGGGTCAGGCGCAGTGGCTCAAGTCTGTAATCCCAGCACGTTGGGAGGGCGAGGCTGGTGGACCACCTGAGGTCAGGAGTTGGAGACCAGCCTGGCCAACATGGCAAAACCCCATCTCTACTAAAAATACAAAAATTAGCTGGGTGTGGTGGCACACACCTGTAATCCCAGCTACTTGGGAGGCAGAGGCACGAGAATCGCTTGAACCCAGGGGGCCAAGGTTGCAGTGAGCCAGAATTGCACCATGTCACTGCAGCCTGGGCGACGGAGCGAGACTCCATCTCAAAAAAAAAAAAAAAAAAAAAAAAAATGTTATTCCTTAAGACCTATCTCATGCAATTTTCATTAAAGTAACAGTAGCTCTTAGTCGTTACTTAGCATTCATTACAAATGTTCCAATTTAGTTGGAAATGATAAAGCAGCTCCCTGAGCTGAGGGTTCTTGGAGTTATGAGTCAGTTGGGAGGTGAAAGTGGGGGGATCATTTGATGGCCCCAGGAAGGACTCCATGTGGTGATTAAGTACACAGAGTACGTGCTCAGGGTGCTGTGTGATCTTGGACATATTACTCTGCTGTCTCATCCTCATTTCTTCATCTGTTAGAAGGGAATATTAGCAGTGCCGTTCTTGCAGAGATTAAATATGCACTGTGCTAATCTTTGAAAGGTGCTTAGCGCCATGCCTGGAACATGATAAGCTCCCAATGCATCAGTCAGCTCACAGAAAGGAAGGCAAGCTTTAGGGATGAGTGGTAGGGTTTTTAGTTCTAGCTGGGTCCCAGTTTCCTTACTCGAAAGAGAGGTTTACCAGAGAGTGAGATCCTGCTTTGCAGGGAGGGGGAGGAAGTGGATGTGCTGGATGGTAGTGGGGTGGGGGGTGCGGGCGGGGGGGCATGTATGGAGCTGAGGAGAGTTGGCAGAGACAGAGTTCCATGGTTCTCCCTGTTATCTCTTTTGATGCTCTTGCCTCGGCTGCTGGAGACAATCGAATCCTTTCTTGTCCCTTCTCCAAGCAATAATGCCTGTTGTGCAGCAGAAACAGCATCCCGCCTTGGGAGAAGCAGAATCTCTGTCAATCTGTTTCTCTTTGTCTTCCTGGTCCATCCGCAGCCCCAACATGATCCCTTAGAGATACCTGAACAGTCCCTCAAACTCATACCCCTGGTGTCTGGGAAAAGGGAACTCACAAGGGGTGAGTACCCCCAAATTAGGAGATACCATGAGCTAACGCCGTCTCAGAATTGCATAAATTTGTCTACATTTTTCAAAGAAGTTGGGTTATCTGATTTAATCCTCACAATAGTCAAGCTAGGAAGGTAAGTGTGGAATTATTACCCCATTTGATAGGTAGACAAATTAAAGCTTAAGATCAAACCGTTTGCAAAGCAGGAAGCAGCACTTCCTCTTGGTCCAGTTCTTCCTTCTCCCTGGTGCTAAGGTCAGTGGATGTTGGCTCCCCACAGGCCAGAAAGCTGGAGAGAAGCCCCTGGCTGCAGGACCCGGGGAGGAGGAACTGCTCCGGGGCTCAGCCCCTCATGCTCAGGACACTCAGAGTGAGGAACTGCCACCCTCCTGCACCATCTCAGGAGAGAAGAAGCCGCCAGCAGTCTCTGGAGAAGCCACCGGGGCTGATGCTGGGAGACTGTGCCCGCCCCCCCGCTCCAGGGCTCCCCACAAAGACAGAACTCTAGCCCGCTCCAGGCCCCAGACTCAGGGGGAAGATTGTTCCCTCCCAGTGGGAGAGGTGAAGATAGGAAAGAGGTCCTATTCTCCAGCCCCCGGGAAGCAGAAAAAGCCTAATGCCATGGGTCTGGCCCCAACATCATCTCCGGGTGCCCCTAACTCAGCCCGTGCCACACACAACCCAGTGCCCTGTGGGTCAGGCCGGGGGCCCTGCCACCTGGCCAATCTCCTCAGTACATTGGCGCAGAGCAACCAAAACAGAGACCACAAGCAGGGGCCCCCGGAAGTGACCTGCCAAATTAGGAAAAAGACACGAACCCTATACCGCTCAGGTAAGTCCCTAAAGAGAGGAAACCGAAGAGATCTGGGGTCATCCTGGGGAAAGGTGGGGCTGTGTGAAGAATCTACCCCCAGGAGACCTGAGGGATGGGGTTAGTTTGTATGTCACTTCGTCCCGGATTCTCTCTTGGGCCGCGGTAGTGCAACTATCTCTGACCCTCAGAGGGAAGGTTGGGTTATCACATCAGAAAATGAGGCTGGAGCCAGGCACAGTGGCTCATGCCTGTAATCCCAGCACTTTGGGAGGCCGAGGCAGGTGGATTACCTGAAGTCAGGAGTTTGAGACCAGCCTGGCCATCATGGTGAAACCCCGCCTCTACTGAAAATACAAACATTAGCCAGACATGCTGGCCTGTGCCTGTAATCCCAGCTATTTGGTAGGTCGAAGCAGGGGAATTGCTTGAACCTGGGAGGCAGAGGTTGCAATGAGCTGAGATTGCGCCACTGCACTCCAGCCTGGGCAACAGAGTGAGACTCCGTCTAAAAAAGAAAAAAAGAAAATGATGTTGGGACCAGGGTAGAAGAGTAAAGAAAGTAAACATACTGCTCTCTGCTGTAGCACCCAAGAGCGAGAAGGCCCAGCCCAATAGGAAAAAGGCTTTGGGAAAGTGTTGGGTTAGGGGCAGTGGCCCCATCTGTTGGAGATACTTGGTGAGCACCTCTCTTTCTCTTCACCTACCTGTCACTGGCATTTGTCCTCCTCACACAAGTTTCTTCTTCTTTCAGATCAGCTGGAGGAGCTAGAGAAGATATTCCAAGAAGACCACTATCCTGACAGTGATAAACGCCGAGAGATTGCCCAGACGGTGGGGGTGACCCCCCAGCGCATCATGGTAAAGGGGGCCGGCTCACTGGTGGCAGGGTGGAGTGGCGGAGGGCCCACCATTGAAACACTCGAATTGCAGAGTGAGCGCTCAGCGGTAGCCTGGGTAGGAGCTGAATTGAGGCCTCAGACGTGGCTGTGTCCCTGACTGTTTCCAGAGTGCCACAGCCTGAGAGCATTAGGAGAGGAAGGCACTGCAGAGACTTTTGATAAAACCAGCCTGACGGAGGGCTCAGAAGCAGAGTGCTGGAGTGACCTTCCAAAGTCCTGTAGCTCCTTGTGCAACAGCCAGGACCTAAGCCTCAGTCTCTGCCCCTCTTCTCCAGTTCTTCAAGCACCTTTCCCCCCATAGGTGTGGTTCCAGAATCGCCGGGCCAAGTGGCGAAAAATGGAGAAACTGAATGGGAAAGAAAGCAAGGACAATCCTGCAGCCCCTGGCCCTGCCAGCAGTCAATGCAGGTCAGAATTCTTCCTCTTTCTGTATCATCCCTGTGGGTAGAAGTGGGGTCCAAGCTGGGATCCTGAGGGTCTAGAAGGAGACCATTGGAAGGCTAGGCATGAGTCCTAGGGTTGCCAGCTAAGATTTAGAGGGATTTTGGCTGCCATGGGATCGGGAAGTTGCCAATGCCCTGTAGGAGGCAGAGTTTGGGAATTGGTGTCTCTCCTGGCAATGAGGCACCTGTGCAAATCCAGAGACCACCAAAGCTACAGTCTTCATTCTTCCTGCCTCCAGCTCTGCAGCTGAGATCCTACCTGCTGTGCCCATGGAGCCAAAGCCTGACCCTTTCCCTCAGGAGTCCCCTCTGGATACCTTTCCAGGTGAGTTCCCACCTTCAGAGCTGGGGGAAAATGGCAACTAAAGATAGTGAAGACAGGCCTTGTTTGATGGAGGTGGGAGTGACTGGAGTCCTCCAGTGTTTCAGCCAGCAGGGCCTATTCAGGGGGACCTGGGCATGGCTTGTGTCTACCATTCAGCGATGCCAAACCTGCCTCCCATTTCCTTACCGTTATAGCACCTCTTTGCCTTCTGTTCCTAGAGCCCCCCATGCTGCTGACTTCTGACCAGACTTTGGCCCCCACCCAACCCAGTGAGGGTGCTCAGAGGGTGGTGACCCCCCCACTCTTCAGCCCCCCACCTGTGCGAAGGGCCGATCTTCCTTTCCCCCTTGGCCCTGTCCACACCCCCCAACTGATGCCACTGCTGATGGATGTTGCTGGCAGTGACAGCAGCCACAAGGACGGCCCCTGTGGGTCCTGGGGGACAAGGTAAGGAACCTACGGGGGTAGGTCACTCTAGTTATCTGGGTGGGGGTAGGGGGGTGTAGATGGAGAGAAGATAGACACAGAGAGGAGAGGGTTAACTGAGAGGAGCACAGAGTGGTACAGGAGATGGGGATGAAAGGGATAAGGGGATCTGGGGAATGACCTAGGGGATCACAGCAATAGAGCAGAAACAAGGGTAAGATGCTAGGAGCGGGAGTGGGGAGAAGAGGCAGCTGCAGCAGCCTTGCAAGGCTGGGCTTACCATGGAGATGAGGAGGAGGCGAGAGGTAGGGACTCCGCTACTGTGGTAGGAACGGGGAGCTCCCCCACCCCTGCACCTCACCAGCTGTTCCTCTGTCCTTGCAGCATCACCCTGCCACCCCCCTGTTCATATTTGGAGGAGCTGGAGCCCCAGGATTACCAACAGAGCAACCAGCCAGGACCCTTCCAGTTCTCCCAGGCTCCACAGCCCCCGCTTTTCCAGTCCCCTCAGCCCAAGTTGCCCTACCTCCCCACTTTCCCCTTCTCCATGCCCAGTTCACTGACGCTTCCACCGCCCGAAGACTCTCTCTTTATGTTTCCCTGTGGCCCCAGCGGGGGCACATCGCAGGGCTATTGCCCAGGTGCCTCCTCAGGACAGATCCTGATGCAACCACCTGCTGGGAATATAGGTGAGTTGAGGCTGGGAGAGAAGGTCCCCTTGAGATTGAGGAAGGTGGGAGGGGACAAAGAGCCAAGTTATCTGGAGGGTAGACTGAGGCAGGTCATGGGTGGTGAATGAATCCTTCTGTTTGCCCCTAGTTCTATTAAGCTCTTCTCCCTCGAATTCTGCAGAGGCTGCAGAGCACAGTGAGAGTTAGCAGAGAACTCTGGAGTTTGGCATCAGGAAAACAGGCTTGAAGTCCAGCTCAGCCAGTTACTAGCTCTCCTGAGTCTCAGTTTCTGGGACTCTGAAATGGGACTCACAGTTCTATGTCAGGGAGGGACTTGGTGAGGATTAGATACAATAGGAGTGAAAATATTTGGCCTAGAGTAGATGGCAGCTAATATTCTGCTGGGCCACTTGGACCTCTGAAATCCCAGAAACATCTGTCATATTAAGACTAGATTCTAGCAGAAGGGGAGGAAAGATCAGGTGGTTCCTGGTCTCCTTGTTGCATGTACGAAACAGCATTGGCCTGATCCATGGTTCACTTTGTGTCAATGTTACTAAACCACAGGACCTTGAGTGCTGGAGCCTGTGTGGTCCTAAGGACAGACCCTGAGGCTAGAGTTTGACCCAGACTTACACTGAGGTCCTAAGCTGCGTCTATGTGTGTTGGGGCACGGGGGGATCTGTTGTAGAACACTGTTAATGATAGTTGATACTCTCCATCCTGTCTGGTAATTCCTACACCCTCCGACCCCACAGGTACAGCCTCCTGGAGTGACCCCTGTTTGCCAGAGCTGCCCTTCCCTGGTCCGTTCTGCCCACAAGCTCTGGGGCATCCCCCAGGAGGGGATGGCTACTTTCCTGATCTATTTCCAACTCCCTGCCCCCAGGCTCTGGGCAGGCAGCCTTCGTCAGCTCTCTCATGGATGCCTGAAGGGGCCAGACCAGGGACTGGGCCCTTACTCAGCAAGGCAAAAGAGGAACCACCAGCTGCTTCCCTGGATCAGCCCTCAGCACTGGAGGAGGCCAGAGGGGATGACAAGAATAGCCATGTCCCCTAGTTGGGGGGTCAAAGAGTGAAAAGAGGCTGCTTGGGTGGGATAGGATTGGGCTCGCTGAGAGGACAGGGGTTGGGGGTTTGGGAAAGAGTGTGGACTCTGTAGACTGAGGGGAGAGTTAGACGTTTCCCCTGTGTAGGCTCGTCTTGTTGATATGAGAAGGAAGAAAGAGGGCTGGCGCTTCCCTTTTCTTCACACTCTGTGTGGGGGTCCTGAAGGAAGCAGGTGGCCTGTGTTACTTCTGAATGTTGTATCAGGTGTTTTTGTTTGTTTCCTATCCTTGCTTGACAAATGAGCTGGAGTGTCCACCGTAAGCAGTAAACTAGTCCGTCCTGCGGTTTTCTCTGTGGTTATGTGTCTCCATTATGTGTCTCCACACTCACACTAATGAAGAGCTCCATTTTCGTCCTTTTATTCCACTTGGCTGAGCAGTCATTGGATGCCATTCTCAAGTGGGCACCACCAGGCATGACCACATGGAGGGCCTCTTCCCTGGGCTCATCTCTCCCACTAAAGAAGGAACTGGGCATCTTGGGCTTTTCCTTCGGTCCTGACATTTAACCATATTCTATTCCCAAACCCATGACTGACTCTGAGCAAATCTGAGTCTGGGCCTTTCTCTGGAAGTTGGGCCCCATAGGGACAGGATCACAAGAGAAGCCTGAGAATATCTGAAGTCACTTCTCTAGTATTGTGAACTAGGACTTATTTTCCCACAGCTCTTGTTTTTGTGTATGGGGGGCGGGGCTGGGGAGCACTCCGAGGATAGCAAGTAGACAGTTCTCTCCCGCACAGGAGGATGTGACAGCATCCCCAGACTATAATGGCCCAGACCTCACTGGGCCAGGACGAAGGGTCCAGAATGTTCTCTGTCTCTCCCACCCTAGCTTGCAGAGGCACCAAAAGACACTTTGCTAAGCACCTTGAGAGATCACCCCCTAAAATGATCACCAACCATTTCATGCTTAACTCTCACCCATAGACTGCAATTTTACCTCCTCCATTTGTTTATGGTTACCGTTTGAGGTTGGGTGCTAATCTCGGGAGGTTTGGTTATAGGTTGAGATGTAGGAAGAGGAGGGAACAAGAGAGAACTTAACCAAAGATGGAGAATGCTCCCTAGATGTCTGCACAAGGGGTCAGGAGCTCAGGAAAGAATGGACACTGACTGAGGATGTACCACCCTCCTGTTCCATTGCACAGAGTGATTCTGCATCCACATTGAACTTGAATAACTTCCTTCCGTCCTCTGGTGGTGAGCCAAATTAGGCAAATGACAAATTAGGCAATGAAGGAAGAAACATCAATTAGACCTTATTGGTTCTATGCTTGAGATCCTGCTTTAGTATGTTAAGGGCTAAAGGGAGCATGAGAAGGAGGGTAAACAACCAATTTGTATAAAAAGAGAAGTGGGTGGTGCCTGGGAGAAGGGCGAGATGGGACTGAAAAGGACCAGAAAGATGAATGAAGGGTGAAGACAGTAGTATAAGAAGCAGCAAAACATTGACTGGGTGATGAAAGAGAAAGATAACCACAGAAGAAAAATCTATCCTAAAATACATCTAAACAGAAAAGAAAAGGTAAGGCACAGATCTGGAGATTGGAGGAAAGGGACCTGAGAGGTACTAAAGTAGGAAAGAACAGGTCAGGAAGGGAACAAAGGAAAGAGGCTAGGGGGCGGGAGAGACAGGAGATGGCACAGGAGTCAGAAAGTGGAATGGAAAACGAGCAGAGAAAGGCCGGGCGCGGTGGCTCACGCCTGTAATCCCAGCACTTTGGGAGGCCGAGGCAGGTGGATCACGAGGTCAGGAGATCGAGACCATCCTGGCTAACATGGTGAAACCCCGTCTCTACTAAAAATCCAAAAAAAAAAAAAAAAATTAGCCAGGTGTGGTGGCGGGTGCCTGTAGTCCCAGCTACTCAGGAGGCTGAGGCAGGAGAATGGGGTGAACCTGGGAGGTGGAGCTTGGCTTGCAGTGAGCCGAGATCCCGCCACTGCACTTCAGCCTGGGAGACAGAGCGAGACTCCATCTCAAAAAAAAAAAAAAAAAAAAGCTGAAGGGACAGGAAGATGAATATGAAAAGGGGGAGAGTCAGTAAATAGTTATAAAGATCAATGTCCTCCTAATAGATAAAGAAGAGGAGTGTTTAGGGATTAGAGAGGTGTGATTAAAACAATAGATAAGTGCAAGCCAATGAGAAAATGTCTCTGAAAGAATGCAGAAATCCACCAGAGGGGCAGAAGTCAGGAGAAAACCAGAAGGTCGACTTGGCGGATATGTGATGGAGATTGTAATAGCCAGGTTTCAGTACCCTTAATTTAGGGATTAGGATATGTATTTGTTAAATTATGAAATGTTTTATGATGCATAACAATTGAGTTTTTAAAAGTATATATTTACATATCTCATTTTGTTTTCACATTCTGTCTCATGAGGCTCATGAAATGAACAGCCTAAAGACAGACATAGGGCAAAATAGATGGAAGACTGTAACTGCTCTTTCTATTAATCACCAGAGCATTCCGTTGCTTTCAAAGCCCTACATGGTGGCTGGATATTTTCTCCTCCAGATCTTAATTGGTTCATGCTCCCGCTATTCAATGATTAGCAGCACCTTTGTATGGAGCAAATACAGCATCTAACACCAAGAATCGAACGGAAATCAACTTTGACATCTGTCCTTACATGCAACTCTTAGATAAAAAGTGTTGATTTAATAGTATACTAAAAATAAAATGAATTGAGAATTAAAAACAAACACTAAACAAAGAGAAAATCGTGAAAACTTCTTAGAAGCATGGAAACTTAGGGGTGAAAGAAAAAATCCAAGCTCCTGACTTGCAGGAATCTCTTCTACCCACCATTGATGGGGCATCATTCAGTATTGTTTTCCCAGTGGAGGGCCCGAGGCTTGGGGCTAACTCCCTTTCACAAGAACCTGCAGAATTTTTGAAGAGCTTTATTATAAAATTCTTCTACTAGAAATAAACCAATATCTTGTTTGATTGATCTGGGTTTTGTTTTCCAAGTACTACAAAAAATAAATCACAAATCTAAGGACTGTATATCATTCCTATTATAAAAGCTTTGCCTTCTACAGGTGATGGTGGGAGCTCTGTCTGCTAGCCCTCATGGGGCTCGGGCTCCAGGCTCTTTGCCACCCTGTATGCCTCTTTTCAAATAAATGTGAGTTTGCCCATGTTCCTTTTAGGAGTGGTGTCAGAAATGAAGCCTACTTTGAATGTGGTCTGGTCAACATTTTGGTACAGCTGTCATCTCCATTAAATAGGATACCCTACAAATGGTGTCTCTATTAAAACACATTAGCATTTTTGTGCAGCTGGTTCATATTCTTGGTCCAAAACTATGACCTCTAGGTCATTTAAACAGAAGCTGTTTTAAAGGCAGTTCACCCTCCTCATTTTGCACTTGGAGAATTAACATTTCTAATCTAAACATACAGAGATTTATATGGCCTGTTCAGTTTCATTTTGTTAATTTTAGCCCAATATTGAGCTTAAGATGCTCTGGAGTTCTTATATAATATTAGCCATTTTTTTGCAGTTTTGTTCTGCCTGCAGATCTGATCAATATGTTTTACACATTTTATAATCAAATCATTAATAAATTAGTAAACAGAATATAGGTCAGCACAGGACATTTTGGTACTCCTCTTTGAAAATACTCCATTAATGGGTACTTCTTTTTTTGTATAGAGGGTTAAACTAGCTACAAATCTTCCTTAACTGTATTATCATCCCATACCATCCTTTACTATCTCCCTCAAGGATTTAGGAATAAAACTCCTCTATGATTCAATAAAATCAAAAACATATTCTCTGTATAGCACTCTGATAATATAACATTCTTGTAAACCTAAATATATAACAAATGAGACAGATTAGCTTAGAACACCTGTTGTCTTTTCTGGCTAATTTTTACCTAAGTGTTCATAAGCCATTTTTCAAGAATCTCATAGAATTCCATAAGATTTTACATTAAATTTATTGTCCTTTAGTTTCAACAAATCATGTCATTGGAAATTAGGATATTTGCCTCTAGTAAGTCTTAGAAACCCTCTCTTGTCCTGTACTAGAAAACATATAGGATGATTTAAAAGTTATAAGGCTCCAATTTGGGTTTTTAAGTCCATCTTAGTATTATTTTTTTTTTTTATCCAACTCTTTTTTTTTTTTTTTTGAGACAGAGTCTCACCCTGTTGCCCAGGCTGAAGTGCAATTGCATGATCTCGGCTCACTGCAACCTCTGCCTCCCGGGTTCAGGCGATTCTCCTGCCTCAGACTCCCGAGTAGCTGGGATTACAGGCACGTGCCACCACGCCCAGCTACTTTTTGTATTTTTAGTAGAGATGGGGTTACACCATGTTGGCCAGGCTGGTCTCAATCTCTTGACCTCGTGATCCACCTGCCTCGGCCTCCCAAAGTGCTGGGATTACAGGCATGAGCCACTGCGCCCGGCCCAACTCTTTTAATTTCTAGAATATTTTCATTTCTTTGGGAAGATAGTCTGAAATAAAACTCAAGTGCATCTGCTGTGTTTGTATTGTATGTTGACATTATGATGTCTGCCCGCAGGAGTACATTTCTCTTTTCTCTCTCCTTCCTGTCCCAAGTTTGGCTTTATTATTATCATTGCTAGTGTTACTGTTCGTATTGGTCTTCAGCATGCTTGCAGAGCGGAGTTTCTTCCAGGCTTCTCACTTTGAGATACCGTCTTTGGAATTCCAGTGTGTGCTTTCTTTTAACTTTTGCATTTTTTCAACCTTTTCAAGATCTGAGCTTGCCTGTGTAGCCAGCCACACTGTCACCTTTTGGATGACTTCCTTTGTCGCTGGTTGTAACGATGAGTGATTATATCTTTACAATTTTGTTTCTGATAGTTCCACATCACTTTGAGCCATCCTCAGGTGGAAGAATCTTGCGCTTCTTACAGGAAGCTCTAGCTTTTGCTCTGGTTTTGCGTGGAGAGGGAGCAAAGTTTCTGCATGCTGGAATGGAACAATGGTCCAGGCACTCTGCTTAGAACACGAGGTAAACGCATTTCAGCCTTGCTCCTATTCCATCTGCTTCCTACCCTCCCTTCCCCCCACCCATGTCCTCCTCGTCTAACAGTGCAACCTCAGGACTTTGCAGTTGGCCAGAGCGGAATCCTTCCTGGCAAACTCCGGAAAAAAAACCAAAAAACAAAAAACAAAAAATCTGTCCAGTCCTCCAATTTTAGCTTTCACTACTAATATCTTTCCACTAGATGGCAATCTACCACCAGTTTCACTGTGGCCCTAAACTACTCTGGTTGTTTACAGCAAGAAGAGTCCACGCGAATCTTCCTCAATTCTTTCTCCAAAATGCCCCAGAGCCCCATCCTGTCAATAATATCGGGCTCAAAGTTGTTGAAGTCATTTGGGTTATAGCTTGGTTTTCCAGATAAAAAAAAGGATGTGCAGTTAACTTCGAATTTCAGAAAAACAACAAATAATTTTGTAGCATAAGCCTGTTCCCTGCACTATTTGGATATCTTGCATTTTTAATTTTTTTTTTTTTTTTTTTTTTTGCTAAACCTGGCAAATCCTAGTTGTAGCACTTTGCTAAGGACATCTACATCCATGTTAGTTTTGCAGTTCAAACAGATAATCCTGAAGTTGGCCTCCATGTTTTACCCAACTTTCTTACTGTTCAGACGCCTAGGCAGCCCTGGGTTCACTGCTGGCATTTTAGTAACTCCTCACCCCACCCCTCACCATTAGGACTCTCATACAGGCTCTGCAACTGTCCAAAAAAATCATTTCCTTTCATGTTCTAAAACTGTTTGATCCCCATTCTATTTTTTGTTCCTGTAGGCTGAATATTTTTTTAATTTTGAGACAGAGTCTCACTCTGTTACCCAGGCTGGAGTGTAGTGGTATGATCATGGCTTACTGCAGCCTTGACCTCCTGAACTCAAGCAACCCTGTCGCCTCAGCCTCCCGAGCAGCTAGGACTACAGGCAAGCACCACCACGCCCGGCTAAATTTTTGATATTTTGTAAAGTTGGGGTCTCACTATGTTACCCAGACTGAGCTCAAGTGATCCTCCTGCCTTGGCTTCCCAAAGTTCTGGGATTACAGGCCTGAGCCACTTCACCTGGCCCTGAATCTTTTATATTAGTTATTCAGATAATTTTATGAGATAGCCCATTAGAATTAATTTTAAATGTCTATTTAAATATTATTTGCGGAAATGGAACACAAAACAGAAACAGGCTACAAAAGACAATTAGGCTTTTGTTGGCCCCACTCCAAGTAAATGGTCTTTATTAGTCAACAGCAAATCTGCTTCCCTGGAAATGATGCACCTTCTTCATTCATCCCCAAGTGCTGATATTCGAGTCCAGAGGGCCAGTCCGGGAGATTCAGCGTTCTTGTGTTTGTAGTTTAGTTCATACTGTTCTTTCATAAATATCCTTTCATTTGAGTTTATAACAAAGCCCTGAGATATAGGGCAGACATCCATTCCATCAGGTGACGGGGGTTTACAGGCACAGACAGTACTGGGTCAGCACAAAGATAAACAAAATCTCGTCTCAGCTTTCAGGGAACTGCCACTCTCTCTGGGGAGTCTGACAATCACATGACCAGTTACAATACAGGGGGCCAATGCTGTGAGGTGCCAGCCTGGGAACAAAGAGTGGCAGGAACTCAAATGGAGGAAAAGCCACGTAAGAAAGCTCTAGAGTCTAAGGCATTAAAGCTAGCTCGTGAAGGAACAGTGGAATCTGGATAAGCAGAGGAAGGAAGGAAGGATATTTCAGGCAGAAAGTATAGCCAGTATAAGACCACTGAGATTGGTAAGAGGATGAGAGAGATGCTCAGAGTGGTAGGGTTTGAGTGGAGGGGCTGGGGTGGCAGATGAGGCTGGCAGGGAGATTGGGAAAGGCCTCACACGATGCTGAGTGTTTGCATGTATTCTTTGGGCAAACAGTGGCACTGGCAGTTTTAACTCATGGGCATGACTCGCCCACATTTGTGTTTTAGAAAGTTGAACAGGCCGGGCACGGTGGCTCATGCCTGTAATCCCAGCACTTTGGGAGGCTGAGGTGGGAGGATCACGAGGTCAAGAGATTGAGATGATCCTGGCCAACATGGTGAAACCCCGTCTCTACCAAAAATACAAAAAATAGCTGGGCATGGTGGTGTGTGCCTGTAGTCCCAGCTACTCAGGAGGCTGAGGCAGGAGAATTGCTTGAACCCAGGAGGTGGAGGTTGCAGTGAGCCGAGATTGCTCCACTGCACTCCAGCCTAGTGACAGAGCGAGACTCTGTCTCAAAAAAAAAAAAAAAAAAAAAAAGAAAGTTGAACAGAGAATGAGATTGATAGAAGGAAAGAGGAGATGCAGGGACATAATCCAAGGCTGCTGAGACAGCCTCACTGAGAGATGTGTAGAGTAGGGCAGGGTGAAGAGAGAAGAGCGAACAGACTTGAGGAATATTTTGAGATGGAGTTTCACTTTTGTTGCCCAGGCTGGAGTGCAATGGCACTATCTTGGTTCACTGCAAACTCCGCCTCCCAGGTTCAAGCGATTCTCCTGCCTCAGCCTCCGAAGTAGCTGGGATTACAGGTATGCGCCACCACACCTGGCTAATTTTGTATTTTTAGTACAGACAGGGTTTCACCATGTTGGTCAGGATGGTCTCGACCTCCTGACCTCAGATGATCCACCCACCTCAGCCTCCCGAAGTGCCGGGATTATAGGTGTGAGCCACTGTGCCCAGCTTTGACGAATATTTAAGTCAGAATCAATATAATGTGGTAGATAATTAACTGAAAGAAAATAAGACTTTGGTAACTAAGAAATGCTATAATTGAGAAAAAATAATGGAGATTGTATTATGCCATTTTTGCATTGCTAGGCTGGGTAAATAAAAGAAGTTTAACTGGCTCACGGTTCTGCAGGCTGTACAGGAACCATGGTGGCGGCATTTGCCTGGTGAGGGTCTCAGAAAGTGCAGGGTCATGGCGAAGGCAAAGGGAGAGCAGGAACAAGCAAGGGAAGAGGAGGAGGGTGCCACACTCCTTTAAACAACCAGATGACCATATATGGCATGAAATCAAAGCGAGAACTCAGTCATGATTGCAAGGCAGCACCAAGCTATTCATGAGGGATCCTCCCCCATGACCCAAACACCTTCTACCAGGCCCCACCTCCAACATTGGGAATTACATTTCAACGTAAGATTTGGAAGGGACAAACATCCAGACCATATCAGAGATGAAGCAAATTTAGGGAAAAGGAGAGTTCGTTTATATATGTTGAGGATAAAATTTCTGTAGTTATCTGGTTAGATAAGTGGTTATCTGGGTAGAGTAGGGTCTGTAAGTTCCCCCCATAGGGTAGAACTTACAGATCTTTGTTGTAAGAAAAATATAGAACTAGGGTCTGTAACAGAGACAAGGACTAAAAAGACCAAAGGCAGCTCTTAGGCCTATTCAGCATAGAGAACACTAGTTCAAGTCAAGAGAAAGTCACGCAGGCACAGCACGTAGCAGGAAGAAAACTGGTCTTAGGCAGGCTCACTATGTTTCCTACGGAAAGAACAACATAGTGAAGGAGCACTGGGCAGAAGAAAAAGTGGCATTGATAATGGGTCAGGGACAGCCTGAGAGTACAAGTAGAAAGAGCTCCAAGAGGTGCTGGATTGGGAAATGATCAAAAGCCCAAACAGGGCCATAGGTCCTGGGGAGGGAGGTTGAACAGGTGTGAAAATATAAATGCAATTATCCAAATTCACAGAGCAAGAAACAGGTTTAAACGATTACCTAAAAATGCCTTAACCAAGGTCAGGTGTGGTGGCTCATGCCTGTAATCCAGCACTTTAGGAGGCCGAGGTGGGAGGATGACTTGAGTCCAGGAGTTCAAGACCAGCCTGGGCAATATAGCGAGACCACCCCCCCCTCCCAACCCCCATCTCTATTTTAAAAATTATCTTACAATTATCTTTTAAGAAAATGAAATTAAAATAAATGCCTTGACCAAGTCTAGATAGAAGTCTTTTAGTTTTTTATTCTCCACTTCAGCAAGTGCAGATAGAAGAGTCTTGCTTTGGGAATGCTAATATATCTTTGAAAAAACTGAAAGAGCCTTAACAAGTAAAAGGCTATAAATGATAGCCAATTTTGTGTGCTTGTATGTTTTACAAAACCATCAGGAGCTGAAATAGCTTACTTAATCCAGAAATTGGTCCTTAGGCAAAATATTAATGATGATGCTAGCTATTTATTTGGCATTCATCATGTATCTAGCTCTCTGCTAGGTAATTTTATTTCACAACCACCGTATAAGGTATTCTTTATTTGACAACTGAAAATCTGAGACTCAGAGAGATTGAAGTTATTTGCCCAAAGTTGCAAAAGGAATACATTCTGGACATGATTTAAGCCCATTCATGAGGTGTCAACTGCAATAAGCAATGTCTAGTGATAGTTTTAGAAGGAGGTGTTAAAGAAGGTCAAAAGCTGGGATTGGGTGGGACATGTCAGAAAAGAGTGGGTATAAGCTAGATTTGAGCTAGAATCAAATCTTTCCACAGGCCCTGGGTCTGTGTTTAAATAACTTAAATACTCAGTACTGTTTAGTTTGATTTAAAAAGAAATAGACACATTATTGTGATATGTAAGAGGCAAGAGAGAATAGTCGTCAAAGGGAGCAGGAAGCTGAATGTTCCAAAACTAGAAAGGGAGTTGGGATGTGTGAGAAGAACAGGTAGTGAGGTTAGTGAACGTGTAACCTAAGGAGCAGTGTGAGAAACAGAGGGGGCTCATGGACGCTGGATGGCTAGGTTGGGCCCAGCATTATTACCTGGTAGACAACGAGGGGGGTAAATAATATAAAGTCAAATTTGAGACTGTGGAACACTCTTCCAGATAGATTGTGGGTGAAAAGACTGAGAGTAGATGGACCAGTGGGGAAGTCATTCCAGTACCCAGAGATGAGGGGACCGAGACCAAAACAGCAGTAGGGAAATAGGAAAGCAGTCAATGTGATCAATGCTGTGAAGAAATCAATGAGTTGACTGCATGAGTGAGGAGGAGAGAATATCAAACGGACTCTGGGTTTCAGAGCCCAGGCATCTGGGAGTAAGATGTGCAAAATACACAAGCCCAGGGGAGGAGTTGGTGTCAGACCCAGGGTTGTGGCATCTACACCTTACTTGCTTCTTCATTCTGTAGCCTTTACATTTTATTTGTTTCTTCATCTCATTACCCTGGCAGGTTGCCTCACATACATTCCTACTGCCACAGCTTCATTATCTAAGAATGGAATTTCCACCCACAGAGATTCTAGAGTGCTTTCTGGTACACTTTCATTCTATTGGTTTTTATGTCATTCTTTCCACATAATTCTACCCAAAGTGCCCCTTCTCAAGCTCCTGCACCCTTACCCCAACCCATATTCATCTAGCCTGCCAGGGATACAATCCTCTGTTTCTCAAAAGCCCCTTCATCTGAGCTACCAACCACAACAAGCATTTAATGTTTCCAAGCATTCCAATTTGACTATTTCATTATTTCACTTCATTGCCCCATACAAAACAGATTGTTCATTTTAGTCTGACTTTTCTATTACTTCCTATAAATTACTTAAATTGGTGAGATCAGGTATATTTTCATACCCGATAAACAAAAAATGTTCCCAGAACCATATTCAAAAGATGACTGTCAAACACTTTAAAAAAATATACATTTGGCAGGGTGCAGTGGCTCATGCCTGTAATCCCAGCACTTTGGGAGGCCAAGGTGGGAGGATCACTTGAGTTCAGGAGTTCAAGACCAGCCTGGGTGACATAGCAAGACCTCATCTCTACTAGAAATCAAAAAAATTAGTTGGGCATGGTGGCACATGCCTGTAGTCCCAGCTACTCTGGGAGGCTGAGGTGGGAGAATTACTTGAGCCCAGGAAGTCAAAACTGCAGTAAGCTGACATTATGCCACTGTACTCTAGCCTGGGCAAGAGTGACATCCTATCTCAATATATATATTCATTTCTCTTGGTTTCTTAACTGGAACACACCTTATCTTTTTCCCCTAATATTTGTTAATGCAAATATTATTTTATTTAATCCATTTTTTTGAGACAGGGTCTTGCTGTGTTGTCCAGGCTGGAATGCAGTGGCGTGATCATGGCTCACTGCAGCCTCAACCTCCTGAGCTCAAGCTATCCTCTCACTTCAGCCTCCCCAGTAGCTGGGACTACAGGTGCATACCACCACACCTGGCTAATTTTTAAATTTTTTGTAGAGATGGGGCTTTGCCATGTTGCCCAAGCTGGTCTTAAACTCCTGGGCCCAAGGGATCTGCCCACCTTAGCCTCCCAAAGTGTTGGGATTACAGAGGTGAGCCACTGAGCCCATCACAAGTATTATTTTATTTCGGGGAGGAAGCCCAGTCTTACTGCATAAATCCCATTTCTCCCAAAGATCTGTTTGTACTCTCCTCCCTTGAATCTAAGCAGCCACCTCTACACACACACACACACACACACACACACACACACACACACACACACACACAGAGGACTCTTCAGTTCTTTAAGGCCCTGCTTGTGCAAGGACAATGAACTGCTTTGAAAACACCACCTTGATTCGTGTTTTCTGGATCATGTTGCCTGACTAAGCTCAATTCCATAACCCAAACCTGCTTATTAACAATTCCACAAGTCTGACCACCACCTCCTCCTGCTCTCTCAAAAATATTCTGCCTGTGCATTTTCTGTTCACTCAACCTTTGCAGTGTATGGCAGGTCACCTTCACCCTTTGGGTGATGAGCACAAGCTCAGCAGGTCACTTGCTTACATCCTAGCAGTGGACATAGAGCTGGACAAATCTGTCCTTTATAAGCAACCGACTGTATGACCTTAGGTAAATCACTTCCCCTCTCCAGGCTCCACTGTAACCAGTGAGGGTGTTAGACACAAAGACTTTCAAGGTTCTTTCAAATCCAGCAGTGGATAATTTTCTCATTTGCACCACACGTTGATCTCAATAAGAAAGTACTTTAGAACGGGCTGGCTGAGTCCCACTGAGGGCCCATCATTTCTTTGCTTTCTGCATTTCCCTTTTCTCCCTGAGACTGTCTGCTTCTGGGATAGCCTACAGTCTGTCCTGTTGAGCTGCTATGACTCTCCCACAATATCCCACGGTCTGTTGCTCTTGCCCACCCTTTCCCCAACAGTCTGAATGTTCTCCCTGGTGCTCAGGAGCCCCTTGGTCTGAGCAAATGCAGAGCCCCCATCTCAGCACACCATGTGGACTGGCTCCCTCTCTCCTTCTGGGTTTCCATCTGCATTGTTCAGAGCTAGTTGCCTCTCTGAAATGCTCAGGTAAACTGCCAGAAAATATTCATCTGCCCCTTGGTGCTCCTGGAGAATGCTGTGAGCCAGACGCAGCCCCTCCCTAGAGCAAGTTCTACCCTCAGCCCATGACTCATTCATGGAGCAGCAGACACCAGCTACCCCCACCCCAGCAGCGCGGAAAAAGTTTGTAACGCACACCAACCCGGCTCCTTTCCTACACAGATGCCCCACTCACAGCCACCCAGAATCAACAACCTCACTCACTCACCTTCACTGCCCGAGTTTTGTCTGTGCCCTTAGCCTCGTTTTTGCGACGCTCCTTGGGAACTGCAGGGTGAATGGATGCTCTTCCAAGGAAGAAGCTAGGGAAATTTCCACTCCATGACTGTCATTTACAATGGGCGGGTTGGAAAAAATGGGTCAAAGACTATTAAGCATAGAGAATGTTTTCTAAATCTAAGCAAGAAGTGCATTTGAATCACGACTGAGTTTGGCATCTGTCTCTCTTCAGCTCATTTACTCATAACCTTCGGCCCTTCCACACACCTGACTTCAGAGTTAGAAGATTACCCTCAACTACAGGCTTGGAACTGCTGTAATCACACAGCTTCTGAGTCATGTTTACAGCCAGTGTGGCTCTGGGGTCACTGGACTGTGTTAGCGATAGAGCAGAGTTACCACCACAAAAGATATTTACGTGTAAGTCTGAAACATCAACAAGTATAAACCTGCACAAGTCTCAGTGGTGTGTCTTGAGGGGATGGGTGGGGAATAACTGTCTGTGAAGGGCCACTATATCAAAACACTGGAATTCTCATTTGACCCCATAAACAAGAGGAGTTTATGATAAGGGCAACATCACTAAATACTTAAAAAGCACACAGACTATCAAGAATAGACCAGGCCGGGCACGGTGGCTCACGCCTGTAATCCCAGCACTTTGGGAGGCCAAGGTGGGTGAATCACGAGGTCAGGAGTTCGAGACCAGCCTGGCCAAGATTGTGAAACCCCGTCTCTACTAAAAATACAAAAATTATTTTGTGGCATGCGCCTGTAATCCCAGCTACACGGGAGGCTGAGGCAGGAGAATTGCTTGAACCCAGGGGCCGGAGGTTGCAGTGAACTGAGACCGCTCCACTGCACTCCAGCTTGGGTGACAGAGCAAGACTCCATTTCAGGGAAAAAAAAAAAAAGAACAGACCAACATGAGGTCCCTCAGGGAATCAAGTTTATTTAAGGGGGTAAATATGTGTGCAAAGGAAGGGGAACCAGCAAATGTAATCAGGGTTTTAAAAGACATTTTGTTGTTGTTGTTGTTTTTTGGGGGATGGAGTCTCACACTATTGCCCAGGCTGGAGCGCAGTGGCGTGATCTCAGCTCACTGCAAGCTCCACCTCCCGGGTTCACACCATTCTCCTGCCTCAGCCTCCCGAGTAGCTGGGACTACAGGCACCTGCCACCATGCCCGGCTAATTTTTTGTATTTTTAGTAGAGACGGGGTTTCACCTGGTTAGCCAGGATGGTCTCAATCTCCTGATCTCGTGATCTGCCCGCCTCAGCCTCCCAAAGTGCTGGGATTACAGGCGTGAGCCACTGTACCCAGCCTTAAAAGACTTTTTAACCACTTCTATCCTAAAGGCTAATTTAAAACAAAATCAGTCATAGAACTCAGATTCATTTTATCTGTCATGGATATAAAAGTTATTTGAGACAAAAAACAAAATTAGGGAAAATAAACACATATTAAACGGTGTGCCTTCCAGATACTTGCAGGCTGGTCTTATTAAAATCACTATAAATGGCCAAGACAGAGCAAGTAGTGCACAGCTAAAAGCTAAAGGTCATAGTTAACTTTAAGTAAAAGTTGGTAGTAAAAATAAACTTAAAAAAATAGCTTTCTAAGCTGTGTGCTTAGGCAAAAATGACAGAAGTCCAGTGTGGTCAAGTGCACAAATAAAATAATTGAGCACACATCTATATGATTTTAAGCTCCAAGCATATTACAATTCAGAAAAGGTTCTATGAATAGAACTATTTTTGTCTCCTGAAGACACTACTCAATGCATTGTTTTGCTTAAGAAAGCAACAAAATACTGTATAATCATACATGCTTCAAATGCAGTTCTGTCCAAAAAGTCTTGGTTAATGATTGTTTTCATAATCTCTTTTAAGAAATGGCCATGTAATGGTTCCAGTAATCACTGAAGAAGTTGAGTTCAATTCTGGAAATTTGAAGACGGAGAGGACAATGAGTGAACCTATATTCAATTTTTCTAAACCTAAAGTATAGTTCAGTAATTCAACCGAAGAGACATTACTCATATCTAAATTTCTCTTTTTCTTTTTTTAACCAAGGACTTAAAAGACAGGTAAAGCCTAATGCTTTCTAATATCCCAGATTAGGTGAGTATAACCCAATTAAATGAATACATATTAAAAATCTAAAGAATAGTTTTAGTTAGAAGTCTTACAGAACTTATGTTCAAAAGGATGAGAAAGCCTTAACAACTTCAAGCAAAGCAGCAGCCATGCAACTCAAAAAAATTATTTGCATTCAGAAGCTGCTATTGTACCTCTCTGAGAAAATAATGGAGAATTTGCCTTGAAAATAATATAGGGCTGGATATGGAACTGTTTGAGCCATATGGCCAGTATTCAAATACTGGTTTGTACAAATAGTTTGGATTATAATTATTGTTATTGCAATCAATATGAATCAATTATTATTTTATATGTTAGTATATGCAAATTATAGCATATACAAATAATACATGTTATTTACTTTAAAAATCTGGCTTTTTGAAAAGAGTGAAAAACCTCAATTGAACTTCTCTAAAACCATCCTGTTTTGGATATTTTAGCAATGTCATCTTGTTTATGATAAAATAATATTAGCCCACAACTTTTTTTTTTTTTTTTTGACATGGAGTCTCACTCTGTTGCCCAGGCTGGAGTGCAGTGGCACAATTTTGGCTCAGTGCAGCCTCTGACTCCTGGGTTCCAGCAATTCTCCTGCCTCAGCCTCCTGGGTAGCTGGGATTACAGGCATGCACCACCATGCCCAGCTAATTTTTGTATTTTTAGTAGAGACAGGGTTTCACCATGTTGGCTAGGCTGGTCTCGAACTCCTGACCTCAGGTGATCCACCCGCCTCGGCCTCCAAAGTGCTAGGGTTACAGTCATGAGCCACCACATCCAGCCTAGCCCACATCTTAATGGTTATGGTGATGATTTTTTTCAACATAAAGTAAACTGGCCAAACACAGTGGCTCACACCTGTAATCCCAGTACTTTGGGAGGCCAAGTCAGGAGAATTGCTTAAGGCCAGGAGTTTGAGACCAGCCTGGGCAGCATAGCAAGATCCTGTCTCTACAAAAAAATTAATTAAACTTAAAACATTTAAAAAATAAAAAATTAAGCAAGCTAACATGTTAGGATACATTGAAAACAGTGTGTGTTATTAAAAGGACGACAAATATGTCACATCATTGTTAAGTGGGCCTAGGACAAATTTTATAGCATCATTCTTACCTCTGTACGAGGCTGCAATGCAATTCTACTTTTGAGCCTCCTAAATATGAAACAGAGTAGTAGAGTATCAAAGGAAGGACTATTATAGATGAAAAGATGGCATAAAAGATGACTATGGTATTGTTATATATGGATGCTAATGAGAAAAAAATTTAGTCATATTCTTCAACTGAGACAGGCAACCTGAAAGAAACTAGAGAATAACACATTTGTTAGAGTTAAGTAGGGCTTTGGACGTTACTTGGTTCAAGCCCATGTTTTACATTTCAGGGCACAGAGACACAGAAGGGTTGAACTGTGGCAGTGTGGGGCCTGCAGTTTGGGTCTTGTGACTTGGATCCCAGGCCTCTTTCCATTCTGCCTTTCACAAAGAAGAAAGCTAAAGCAGCTGAGAAGATATTTTCACAATAATTCAGGTCACAATATAAAATCATGGATGGTCCGAGTCGGATTTGCCCAATCCACCCAAACTAGTCTATACCTATACCTTATGGGTACAGCAAAGATGGGGTTTTCATCACCTATCAATTACTTCTAACTTTTTCTACAACCTTTGAAGCTGTAACAAGCAGAAAATCTGTCCAAACTCTCAGGGGTCAGAAAGCAGGAGTCAGGAACTGCCATCACCTATGCACCACCTTAGACTTTTATGACACCTAAACCCAACAGGCAGGAACTCTCGGGATTCCATGTTTTGAACCTTTTTCAGTGCTGAGGAGTTTGAGAAGAAAATACTCGGAGAAGTGCCAAGTTTATTAGAGTGAGAGAGTATCACCCTCACATTGCCACCAACAGACATAGATCTCAGAGACACACTGACCTTGCACCATAATTATGGTGAATTTCTAGGTTAGAAGATACCTTAGAGGTCACCGGGCTGACCCTCCCATCTGATGTGTTAACCCCTCTTAAACATCTCCCTCCAGGAGACTGAGGTGAGATTCTGTTTAACATACGGCTATCACTGAAACTCTGGCCAGCTCTGAATCTGCACCCTGGAGGCGGAGAATGTTTAAGCACTATAAGGCAGTAGAAGGAAAGTTCCTTGGCTCAGGCCCCAATGGTCCCCCTTTTTTTAATGATGAAAGGTTCCCAGAGTCCAGTGCAAAGTCCCTCGAAATCCCCCCCACCAAGCACAAAGCACGAAAGGAGGCCTGGGCCGAGGGACTGGGTTAGCTGGATTTTGTCCTTGAGCTTTGAGAAGGCCTAGTTCTCCATCCACAGAAGGCCTCTCTTGCAGGGTTCTGGGGCCAGCCCTTGCCATGAGCAGCTTGTTCTTCAGCTCACGAAACTCCTCTCAGAGAAGACTTAGGCTTGCTGTTCCACCAGCTGTAGTTTGGCAGTCTTGACTCGATGAGCTTCCTTCAGGTTCTGTGCACGGACCTCTGGGTTGGAAATGAACTCCACCTGCTGCACAGGAAACCAGCCTCGCTCCCCGTCTGAGAGCCTCACGCCCTCCAGCCAGCCTGTGGGCACAGGGTGAGTGGGAAGAATTACCTGGGAAAGGCTCACGATAGCTTCTCTGGATCACCTTCCTGGAGAGTTTTCTGAATCCTCAGGCTGAGTGAACTGGGGAGCCTCCAGCATAAACCCAGCCTCCAAGTGTCCTAACATGGCGGCCCTGGGTGTGGCCAAGTCTACAGCTGTCCATTCCTGAGCCTTCACCACTGTTATGGTTGCATCGTGTCCCTCCTAACATTTATGTTGATGTTCTAATCCTCTATACCTCAAAATGTGACCTTATGGGGAATGAGGTTGCCACAAATATAATTAATAAAGTTAAGATGATGTCATACTGGAGTAAGGTGGCCATTAATCCAGTATAACAGGTGTCTATATAAAGGAGGAAAACTTGGGCTGGGCGTGGTGGCTCACGCCTGTAATCCCAGCACTTTGGGAGGCCGAGGTGGGTGGACTGCTTGAGGTCAGGAGTTCAAGACCAGCCTGACCAATATGGTGAAACCCCATCTCTACTAAAAATACAAAAATTAGCCAGGTGTGGTGGCTCACGCAGCTACTTGGGAGACTGAGACAGGAGAATCACTTGAACCCAGGAGTTGGAAGTTGCAGTGAGCCAAGATTGCGCCACTGCACTCCAGCCTGGGCAACAGAGCAAGACTCTGTCTCAAAAATAATAATAATACATAAAATAAAAAAATAAAGGAGGAAAACTTGGACACAGACACAGGAAGGCAGCTAGCCACAGGAAGACAGAGGCAGAGATTGGAGGGATGCTGCCACAAGCCAAGGAACAGCTGGGGCTACCAGACTGGAAAAGGTACGGAAGGATCTTCCCTACAGGTTTCAAAAGACGCGTGGCTCTGCCCACACCTTGATTTGGGACTTCTTGCCTCCAGAACTGTGAGAGAATGCATTTCTGTTGCCATAAGCCACCCAGTCCATGGTACTTTGTCATGGCAGCTGCAGGAAGTGAACACACTCCCAGCACTGCCCTGCCTGCAGTGCCTGGCCTGCTGCTCACGCATGCTCCCGCTTACCGTCACTGCTCTGCTGAGTCACCATCACCACGTCGGCTTTCTCCAGTGCCAATTCATCATTCTCTCGGGGCTTGTAGGCTCGAAGGCACTGTACCTGGGGGGAGTCTTTGGAAGAGAAGAGTGTGAAGAGAGGTTAGGAGAGGCAGGGGATTGGAACACAGACAGGGACTTGGAGGGGGGTGGCGTGGGAGGACTTGAGATAGAGACAGATTTGGGCTGTTGAAAGTCACAGACAAAAGAGGAAATTTGAAAATGGTTAATAAAGAAATAGACATACCAGAAATGAAATGGACCAAAAATTCCACTTCTCCAGAGGAGACGGGTTGAGAAATACATGTGATCATCTCAAATACCTGAGATCCAGCTAATGACCCATCTTCCCTCTGAAACCGTCCCTGACTCTAGTCTTCAATGGGTTCTGAACTCTTTTAAGACTGCTTGTTCATGCCAAGGCATTTATCCCTTATTTAACTGCTACATGGACGTGTTTTGCCTCTCCAACTGGATTATAAAATCTGAGTCTGTGTCTTATTCTTCATTTTCTTCCCAGTACCAGATGTGGAACCAAGAAAGACTTAACTAGTGGTGTCCCAGGTTTGACCTAAGCCAGAGACTGAAAGCCCTGGAGCTTCAGTTTACTCATCTATCAGTGATCAAGATGGTTATTGATCAAGGTTGATCAGATGAATCTTGAGGACATTCAAGATTTCTCTATTTCTATGTTTTTGAGAACCAGGAGACATGTCCATAGATCTGAAGCTCAAGAAAACAAGCCTCAGAGAATGCTTCACCTATCAGTATTCCATCATATGTGGGTTTATGGCTCTTTTTTGTTACTACACTGCCTTGATTCTCTTGTAAAATAAATGGAATACTGCATTACTATTTGCTTTCTCAAGATCCTCCCCATCTGCCATTCACAAGGTCAAAATGAAGGAGGAAGAATGCTCCTGCCCTCCTCACCCACTGGGGAACTGAAGCCAGCAGATGGAGTGCACAGTGAGCAAGTTAACAGCGTTCAGTTACTACACGGCTCTCCTACTTCATTCCCAGGGTTCCTTGTAGTTGTTTGTTCTTTTCAGTCACTAAAGGTCCAGGGTTGAGGTCAGATTCTCTCTGGATTTAAATTAGGGAATCTTTGCTGGAGGACAACTGTGGGGCTGACATGAGAGGCATAAGAAGTCCAGTCTTGGTGTGAACACAGACACATACATAATGTGTGTGTGCCTGTGGCTCCCCATGGGCACCCAGAAGCCTGGGGTAGGTGACCTCAGGTCATCCTCTTAGGTGTGGTCAAGATAGATCTGGGGTGCTATCCTCCTGCACACCTTCTACCACCGTCAGGCTTTCTTCCCCTACCCCAACAAGACCTTCAAGCAGGTAAAATCTAGGCAAAATAATGTCAGCTTAGACTTAAGGGGACAAATATTTTTAAAAAGAGCAAACTATTGCCCAAGGAAGGGAATGTATGGGGAAGGGGGACTGCCATAGTGATGAGCAGTTTTAGGCGATATATTTCAGGTTTTTAAGCTCTAGAGGCCAATCTTCCACCCTGACATTTTACGGAATATCAATAAATGAAAGCCTAGAGTTCCCACCCAGCCCTTTAAACTCCTGTATCCAAAGGTGACATCTGACCCTGCTTTCTTTTCTCTCCCTCTTAGACCCTCACTCACTGTAACACTCCAGAAGGTCCAACTCCTCTCTTGGCATGGCCAAGGCTGAGATCCACCGAAGCTTTTCACTTCTGAGAAAACAAAGCAGGGTCATAGCATCAATTGTGGGGGTGTAGGAGGAGGGCCAAGGATGGGGATGGCAAAAGACTGTGGGAAGGACTTATCTAGTTCCATGACTTCTATCAAACACTATATAGGACTCTTTTTGGTTGGAAACATGACACAATCTTGAACTATATGTGAATGTGTCTTGTCACACTTTACTTTTCCTCTTCTCTTTCCAGAATTATCCTCCTAATGGCTTCTCATATCTTCCAAGTTGGGGCGTAATGTTCATTAGTCATAAAGTCTGGAGATTTTCTGTTTTGGAAATTGTGCTAAGCGAAGTGTTCATTTCAGTTTAGATTCCCTCCATCATTTGGCATGATTCTTGACACTCGCTTGCCTATCTCCCTTCAACTAACTATCTCAGAGATGATCATTGTTTCATAATAATAATTAGATCAGGGAGATATGTCTACTGTTTTATTTGTTGTTGTTGCACGGTGTAATCCAAGCTTAGGTTTGTAATCATCTGAAGGTTTCTGCATTCTGTTAGCCTCTGTGCCCAGTTGTGCCTAGGTAACTGGGAATGGACTATTACTGTTCCAGGCACAGTGCCCAAAGCACCAAACCAACAACATGCATCTGCACCTGATTATTTGACTTATGTGCTGTTTTGCACACAAACTCCGATACTAGTCCTTCTGTTCAATAAATGAGAACAGGTGTTATCGGTCCCACTCTGAAGTATCTTCCAAGGGACAAAACTGAAAAAGTGTCTACAACATAGGGATCCTCAAACACTTAGATACGTCAAACTTTTAAATGACTGTTCATATATCTTTTATAATAGCAATAACAGCTACAGGCTTTTACATGTTCATTATTGCAGGCACTGTGTTCCAGATTTTATAGGTACTATTAATACTCTCAAAAATGTATGTCTGTGTGAATGTATTTTATTTTATTATTATTGAAAACATGAGCAAATCAGCATTCTCAACACTATGGATTTCTGGTCAATAGAGGACTGGTTTGGAAGATGGGAGCACAGAAAGTAAAAGTCACCCAGCACTTGTCTTATTCACATCTGTGCCCACCAGCTGGGGCATAGAAGGGTTTCTGCCTCAGGCATGGAGGCATGTGCTCACAGATACCAGTATTCCAATTCCTTGCTCACTCCATACCAGTCCTTCTCCTTTCTGATACTACACAGACCTTGTCCCTCTTGAGTAAAGAGTATAAAATAGATGCTAAGCCTCGGTGGTGACTTTGTACCCTCTCCCACCCCAATCTCCTGCAAGTTATCCATTAGTTTTAGGAGTCTGAATTTCTCTATGGTGGTCCCCAGTCCAGAATGGGCTAAATGAGGCTGTGGCTGTCTTCTGGACACATTTTCTGCCTTGGTCTCACTTCTTTTCTCGGCTGCCCATCTTCCCCCACCCCCAGCTCCTCTGCCCAGCCCCATCTCACTGAGTCTCCGTGCGGAAGAGGAACTCGGCCTGGGCGCCCTGAGTGTTCTGCCGCAGAAAGAGTCGGAACAGGTTTTTGTGAGGTCCATGTAGCTTCATTTCACACTTTTCCCCCCGAATGGAGGAGAAGGGAGCATGGTCAAATACCAGGAATCGGCTACCCCTGCAAAATACAAATCTTTTCAACCTGATTCTAGAGTTTCCATACTTCACCTACCCTCATAACCTTGGGTTCGAAATCCCTACATCTACAGCCTGCAAATTCCCACAAAAACCATAAGATGGTCCTAACTTGCTCCCAAGATGGTAGCTCCAGGGTCCTCAGGGATTTGTCCTAGTCTGGCAAACCACACACCTAGTGCAGTGGATACATTACCACTTTAAAGAGGTGAAGAGATGGAATTTATATACATTTCCCAAGAACCTTAAGACCAGAGACTTAAGCTCTGGAATTAGCTAAGTATCTCTAGAATAGCAGGTTGAGGCCAGTCCAAAGAAGCCACAAATAGACTCATGTGAGAATGTGATAAGCTAATTTGCTACATTTTGCTCTGTGTCTATACCATATTACATGTCCTGCTATGTGGTCTCATGATACAGTTTGATGGGATCCCCTTTTTGCTTTGGGCTTGTTTTTCTCTTCTCTAGGCTATGACCTGGGCTCTATGGGTTAAGCCATTGAGAAGGGCTCTTCTAGGAACATGACCCTTCTCTCTCCCTTTCAGACCCCCCTCTTTCCTCATCCCCTTCCCCTCTTGTGCCCTGGCCTGCCACTCCAGTCACTGACTCTCGGGGCCGAGACAGCAGCAGACAGTCATTGAAGAGGTGCAGGTGGACTGGACGCGTGTTCAGCTTCCTTCGTAGCCCTGGGGAAGCACTGAACTCCAAGGCTGTCAGCTCCCCACTTTTCACCAGCCAGCGTGACTGAGAAATGAGCGGGAATATCTACAGGGCAGAGGAAGAGAGAGAAGGCAGTGTCACAGATGGGAGAAGCATGAGGTTTGCTCCCAGTCCCACCCTCCTCCCCATGCCACTTCCATGCAAGTTCCACTTGAACAAGCATCTCTTCCACATCTGCCTTCTGGCTCATAACCCATCACTTAGATTCTCTTTCTCTCTGAACCCTCTAACTACCACTGTCCACTGGTGTGTGGCTCCCATGGTTGTATGCTCAGGTAAATAGAAGATGCCTATGGTCCAACTCAGGATAGTGAGTGTGTGGGACAGCTCTGCCCTAGAAGCCTGAACTGAAGGAGGGATGGAAGAGTCCAATCAGGGTATGTGATGGAACAAGTCAGTGAACACTATATGTGTCTTAGAGGTTAAAATAAAATATTAGAGGCAGGTCTGGTATCAATTCCATTTTTTATACCAGAGATATGTGAGCAGCTGGAATCAAACATGGGGGTGAGAAGAACTAGGTGGGGCGTCTTGGAGCTGGAATTTGGTTAAAGATGAGGGTGTGGTCTATGCTTAGTATGTGAATAAGGGATTTTCCTTCTTTTTCAGGAGTGTAAAGATAGTATGTGTTCTAAGCACGAGCGTGGTGGCTCACGCCTATAATCCCAGCACTTTGGAAGGCAGAGGTGGGTGGATCACTTGAGGCTACGAGTTGGAGATCAGCTTGGCCAACATGGTGAAACCCCATCTCTACTAAAAATACTAAAATTAGCCAGACATGGTGGTGCAGACCTGGAATCCCAGCTACTCGGGAGGCCAAGGCATGAGAATCGCTTGAACCTGGGAGGTGGAGGTTGCAGTGAGCCAAGATCGCACCACTGCACTCTAGCCTGGGGCGACAGAGTGAGACTCTGTCAAAAAAAAAAAAAAGATAGTATCTGTTCTAAGTTGGAATTTGAATGTGGAATGTCTATTTTAGATTTGTATTTCAATGAGGGATGCTGGCTCTAAATTTGGATCCAATCTTATGTGGGTTTGATTAGACTAGAAAGAGATTTGATAAAGTAATAAATGAATCAAGCACCAAAACATTCTTTTATAAAGGCTCATCCTGAAAAGTTCTCTCTCATTTGCCCATTTCTCAAATGCACCCCCCTTGTCCTCAGGTAACCACTGTTCCTTTTTTTCTTGTTCTCCTTCCAGAGTTTCCTTATGCACACACAAGCAGACACCTGTATAGATTTGTATCCTCCCACTTTTATACCAAAGGTGATATAATATACACACAATTCTTTACCTTCATCATTTCACTTAGCAGTATGTCTTGGAGACCCAAGTAGGCCTCCCAGAAATAGGACAGAATAGAAGGTGGGCAGAAATGAGGGGAGGGGCTGGGGATAATGTGAGCAAGGTGGTTCCAGGTTAGGGGGTGATCTGCAGGACATGTTAAGGGAGTTCATGGGCAGGGATGGGGTGCATGGGACCGACTCACTTTGCACTCAAACTCAATCTTCTGGCTCAGGTAGATTAGTTCCTCTGTCCGTCGCATACTCTGGACATTGTTATTGCAGTCCCGGATCAGCTAGGGGTGCAGAGAGTGAGGAAAGGGGAAGGGCACTGTGTTAGAGGCTTTGACCTTTGAGTCCCTTGCAAGCAATCTGGAAATAGGTTATGACAGCCTCAGTCATTTTTCCCAGGCTGGAATTGGGCAGGCAGTATCAAGCACAAGTCCTAGGCAACTTTGTATGACTTGGCAGAACATTCCTGAACTGAGTAAAAGTGAGACTGAATGGGGGGGTGATGGTGGAGAGGGCACAGTCCCTTGATGTGGAGTGTGCTCGGCGTGGGAGAGGTGGCCGTGGGGTGTGTATGTTTGGAAGTTTGGCGGATGCAGGGAGGTGGCTGAGCTCTCCCAACAGGGTCCCACCTCCCATGCTCCCTGGAGTCATGGGCCTAGGTGGGAAAGACCTCTCTGAGAAGAACACACAGAGGGTCAGAGTGGAGGTGGTGGCTGCCTACCTGCTCCAGGGCGTGGTGTGCCTTCGTGGCCTCTGCCTCCTCCGAGGAGCCAGGCTGTGTTCTCTTCAGAATGTTCTATTGAACAGACAGTAGGCAGGAGTGAGATGGGAGGAAGAAATGGGAAACAGGAAGAAATGATTGGGGGCTGGTGAATGGAGAAGCCCAGGGACCACATTTTAGCAGCAAATATTTCCAAGCAAGCAGGCAGTGGGCAGCAGGGAGACAGGATGTGGACACCTGGCAGAAGAATGGTTGGTCCTTTGTTGTGGGTCTTCCTGAGGGCATCCCTTTGAGTTAAGGGGAGAGGATCAAGGTAGCATCTGCCCTACCTGGAGCAGCAGTTTGAGGCGGGTGATGCGTTGGAAGGGCAGAATCAGAAAGGACTTGAGGGAAAGGCGCTGGCAGACGGGGTCGCTCTCCAGCTTCTCCAAGACCTCCCGGAAATTGCTGTTGCTATTCCTGCACGGAGAGTGAGCCTTAGGGGAGGGGGGATATGGGGAGCAATGGGGGATGCAGTGAAGGTGCGGGGAAGGGAGGTCAGTGGAGTATCTGTGGGCTGGGAAAGAGCGGTGGGAGCTGATGTACAGGGCGCTCAGATGTGATGCTGGGGTAACCAATACAGAGGGCGGAATGGGGAAAGTGTGCTCTTGGGATAGCCCTCTGGGCTGGGGACTGGTGCATGGTCACCTCAGGGCCTACATGGGGATTAAATGGGGGATGAGTCTCACATCAGGCTCTGGAAGGTGCGTTCCTGATAGGTCTGGTTGGTGACATAAGGCAGGTAGACCCGGCGGAAGTCTGGGGCGTGGTTCAGGACTACGTCACATACTTGGAAGGAGAAGATATTGTTCTCAAAGTTCTCTTCCAGGTCTGAAAGGAACCTGTACAGGATTTAAACGAGTCTCATGAGACTTCTGGACCTCAGCTAAACAGCTGACTGGCCCCTGGTGTACACTGAGCTGGTGACTTCTTCACTCCATTAGCCAATAACTTCTATTGACTCTCTGCTCTGTGCTCCTTGCTATGCACTAGAATTCGCTCCAAAACTGTCCTGAGTTTGAGCCTGATTTAACACTTTTATTCTAATATTCCATTTCTCATTCTTCTTTTGACCCTGTTCAGGTTTTCTGATCTTTAGATGGTTTTTCCACCTCATCTCCAATGCAGTGCATGACCACAGTAATCCAAAACCTCAACCCAGGAAGCATTGCTCATTTACTTATCCATTAATGGATCTATCCACCCACAGACCCTCTCCTCTTCTTGCCATTCTTCTTCCTATAACCATCGGGAATCATGGAAGAAACTGAGGCCCAATTTCTTCCCATAACTGTGAAAATGAAAGGGTTTCTAAGAGGGGAAAAAAATAACGGAACATTTAAAGCCTAACAACAGTGAGGCTGAGTGAGTGGTATTTAGGAGAAGGGGAGTCTCACGTGGCGCTGACGTCTCGCACATCCTGTAAACGAGAGAAGAGCCATTGGTGCTCCTGGTTGGAAAGTGTGGCCCGGAGTGAAGTTGAAAGTTGGAAATGATCCACAGCTATGTTTAGACTGCGCAGGTAGGAGGCCTCTGACACAATCAGCTCAAATTTGACCTAGGAGGTTGGAGATGAGGAAGATTAATTAAGGATTTTATTTACCCCCTGGAATATGCCAGCCACTGTGTAATGTTTTGGGGATAGAGCAGTGAGCAAGATCCTTTTATGGTTCACAGTCACACCAGAACCTAAGTTGATCTGCGGGGAGGGGAAGAGCATTTGAGTAGGATTTAATCTAGGGTACAGGTACAGGCCTTCAAAGGTATAAAAGAAAAATATGCTTTCAAGAAATCTAAATAACAAAAACAAGAACAAAAAATGAGTAACAAAGTGAGATGGATATGTTAATTTGCTTCACTAGGGTAATTCTGTTACTATTTATATGTAGCCCATAACATCATGTTGTATATCTTTAATATACACAATGAAATTTATATTAAAAAAGCTAAATAGACTGGGTGCAGTGGCTCACGCCTGTAATCCCAACACTTTGGGAGGCTGAGGTGGGTGCATCACTTGAGTCTGGGAGTTCAGGACCAGGCTGGGCGACGTAGAGAGACCCTGTCTCTACAAAAAATACAAAAATTAGCCGGATGTGATGGCGTGCACATGTAGTCCCAGCTATTTGAGAGGCTGAGGCGGAAGGATTGCTTGTGCCTGGGAGGTGAGGTTGCAGTGATCCCAGATTGCACCACTGCACTTCAGCCTGGTGACAGAGTGAAACCCCATCTCAAAACAAACAAACAAACTAACTAAACTAAATAAATTGAGCATTTTTTGAACCAAGTGTACAGCAGTAGTGGCCAGAGATGAAGCTGCAGCAGTCGAGGAGGCCTGAAGGGTAATGTAAACAATGTAAAATTGTTTGGACTTAAGACAATGGGACAATGAAAACAGGCTTTACATAGGAGAATAACTTGACCACATTTGTTTTATATAAAGTTATTTTTTTTTATTTTTTGGAATTGAGATGGAGTCTTGCTCTGTCACCCAGGCTGGAGTGCAGTGGCACGATCTCAGCCCACTGCAACCTCCGCATCCCAGGTTCAAGCCATTTTCCTGCCTCAGCCTCCTGAGTAGCTGGGATGACAGGCATGCACCACCACGCCCAGCTAATTTTTGTATTTTTAGTAGAGACAGGGTTTCACCATACTGGCCAGGCTGTTCTCAAGCTCCTGACCTCAGTTGATCCACCCGCCTCGGCTTCCCAAAGTGCTGGGATTACAGGTGTGAGCCGCTGCGCCCAGCCTGTTTTTCATAAAGTTATTTCTAAGCAGAATGAGAAGAAAAGATGAAAAGAAGCAAAAGCCATCCATGTTAAGAAACTGTTGTAATAATTCCACATGAGAGATGAAGGTCTGAATAGCCATGGAGCTGAAGAGAAGTAGATTAATTTTATAATTATTTATGAGGTAGAATTGGAAGGGTTGGATTATTTGCTAGAAATGGGGCCTCAAAGAGAAGGAAGGTTCAAAGCTAATGTTTTGTACTCACAGCAAAAGCTTTTTGAGTCGGGCACCTGGGTGAATGATGGAGTCATTTACTGAGCCAGAGAACTTTGAAAAGGCATAGATTTAGGGGATGAAGGTGATGAGCTCAGTTTGAGGTTTGAGGACAGATGAGAAGCAGGAGACAGAAGCCGGATATCTGAGAACAAGATGGCGCGAGAAGCAGGAGACAGAAGCAGGATATCTGAGAACAAGATGGCGCAGCTGTGGTTTAATGCATGCCCAGCATGTGAGAACTTGTCTGGAGGTTCCAGCAGGGGGCGCTATGACTCATGACCGTGCCTCTAGCTGGGCTCCTCATGCTTTTCATCCAAGCATGTGGCCTCAAGAGAGATGCCTGGATAGAAAAGAGAAAGGAGACACACCCTGGTGATGACTTGGATGACCAATGACACAGCCAGATGACCCTCCCATACAACAACCCTGAACAGGGACACTGAAGGCTCATTTGCATCCTTGCTCTAACATTCACTACACGACTGACTTTGGGTGGCTCATTTAACCTCTCTGAATCTCACTTTTCGTGTCCTTTTATGTGGATATAGTGACCCCCATCTCACTGTGGAAGATGCAACAGTTGAAAGAAATGGAGCCTGTGAAAGCACTTTGTGAACCCCAGAGGTACTACTTTATAAAATGAATATGTGTGTTTAAGAGATAGAAATGTAAAGCCCTTTCTTCTCACAAACATGAGACCAGGGCTGGAATAGGAGTCCTGCTGGACTTCCCAGCATGCTGGAGTTGGTAAAAGAGAGCTAGAACTCGTGTCATCTCCCACTGTTTGGTCAACAAATATGGGGAAGATGAGTTATTTTCTAAATATCTTCTCTGTGCTTAAAAATTTGCAGCCACAACAGGGCTCTCAAGTCTGAACTTTGCAAAGTCTAAAAATGTATTCTCTCTCTGACTTGGTAAAAGCATTGTCTGTCCATAAGTCCTCCTGGCCCAAATTTTACTCCTCCCTGCCTCTGAAAGGCAGAGAGTACGGCACTAATATTTATCAAACTATACATCAAATATTACTGCTAAATTAGATATGCATTATTTCATTTAAACCATTCAGCAACCCTGAAAGGTAGGCATTATTATCCTCAATTTGCAAGTGAGGAAACTGAGATTTAGTGATGTTATAAGGCTGCCTAAGCTAGCAAATGGTGAAGTCATGTTTCAAACCTAGGTCTGGCTTACTTAAAATGAAAAGTCAACATTTTTTGAGAAATTACTATGTACCAGGCATTCATGTTTCTTGATCCTTGCAGTAACTGTTTGTATCTCAGTTTTACAAATGTCATTTGGCCAAAGGTAAATTGGAAATATTAAAGTGGGCTCTGGGGCTGGGCTCAGTGGCTCATGCCTGTAATTCCAGCACTTTGGGAGGCCGAGGCGGGAGTATTGCTTCAGCCCAGGAGCTCGAGACAACTGGGCAACATAGTGAGACACCATCTTTTCAAAAAATTAAAAAATTAGCTAGGCATAGTGGCACATACCTGTAGTCCTAGCTACTTGGGAGGCTGAGGCGGGAGGATTGCTCGAGCCCAGGAGGTTGAGGCTGCAGTGAACAATGATTGTACCACTGTACTCCAGCCTGAGTGACAGAGCAAGACCCTGTCTCTAATAAATTAATAATTTTAAAAAAAAGTGGTTTTCATATCCAGGTCATTTCTTCCAGAACCTAATTTCTTAAACATTATTCTATTCCATTGTTCCATACTGTCTTTCTGGGAAGAAAGGTTTTACCCCATATTTCAGACAAATTAATAAGAGGCGCTCTCCATGTAAAACTTACTAATGGTAATAGCTTAGAATCAGACAAACAGCCTCTAGTTCAGTCTTGCTGTTGGGAGTAACAATCAAGCAGGGACTGATGATCACTCTAAGGCCCCTGTTAGATTGATGGACCACAGGACAGCTGCAAAGGGCCCTCTTCAAGGGACCCAACAAAGAGCCCCGGAATGTGCCTTGGCTAAAGAGGAAAACTGTAGTGTAGCCTGAAACCCTGGTTGAACAGGGAAGCTTTCCTCTACCCTGAAACAGCAGTGATGATGGGATTAACTCCACATTCCTCCACACAAATTCAGAGGCAATGGCCACCATGTATAGCCCAGACCAACATCAGGTAGGAGCAAGTGGCCTATGGCATGAGGAGGTGAGGATGAAAGGGGAGGTGGTGAAATCCAGAAAACAATTCAACTTCTTCAGAATGGACATGACCCACAGCTGTGGCATGTACACGCGCCTGTGTGGTGGGGACAGCCGACTCTTGGTGGCAGTGGTGAGCAGGAGAGAAGGATGCTAGCAAACAAGACCTTGTCATCTTTTCTGTAGCCCCCTCCCCACCGTGGCCTGCCCAGTACCTCTTGCAGCTTTTGGTCTTCATGGGTCATGGAGAGCAGCACGGTGCTGTTGCGCACCACGGGGATTTCCTGCCAGAGGGAGCCGCTGGAGGCCATGGAGAGCCGCTGCAGGTACGACTCGGAGGAGACCAGGGCCTTCCGAGGCTGCCGCGGAGAGCTAGGCCCGGGTGTCTCGGACAGGCTCTCCAGCCGCTGCTGGCTCTGGATCTCCTTATTCAGGACAACATCACTATACTCCTGGTAAAGCAGCTGGGCTGCAGGGCAAAGAAGCATGGGAAGGAAGAGAAGCAGGAAGAAGGGACGGTGAGCGGAGGCAGGGAAACAGATCTTCTGCAATGCCTTCTCGCTAGGGACATCCCCACCCCACTGCTGACATCCACAAGCCCCTCTCCAGTGCTGGGCAGAATGCCCACCTGGTTCTATAGTTCCACTTCAAGGTACTCACAGGAGTTGATGAGTTTGGAGCAGCGTCTTGAAAAGCCTCCCATCACCTCCTTTGGTTTTTTCTCCCTGTGGAGTAAAGAAGGGCTCTGGGGTACCTACTGGCCATTAGACACAGAGCACCCCAGGTGACTGTGGGGGACAAAGTCTCTAGCCTCTGGGATGTGTGCTGGGATGTCAAGACCAAATCCCCCGGAGAGGCACAGAGTTGCAACTTGACCCACTTGGGCTAACATGGAGCTTTTGTGGGGTTTAGTTCACAGCCATAGGGCTTGGGAAGATGGATGACTCGTAGGCTCGGCTGACCGAATGAGGTAGATAAAGACAATCTCCCTAAGCTGGCATCCCGGCATCTCTCTCTTCTCCTCCTTACACCAAGAAGAAACAGGAATGAGCCATTCGGGGTCTCAGAACCCTTATCAACTGAAATCCTCACTAGGGGACTCTCAGTATCCCAAGTGAAGAGAGTACAGTGTGGCTGTTAGGGGAGAGGGTGACTTACCGAAAAACAACAGTGTCTGAGGGTCCCGGATGTTTCTCCACGGCTGGACCTCTTGAATCTAAAAGTGGAAATGGGGAAGATAACTGAGATTTCAGAGGGATAGAGAGAGCCAAAGAAGATCTAGAGCAGGAGATGCAGGGGTCCAGAAGGGAAAATGGGCTTTATTGGGAAACTGGGAGGGAAGAAAGTGGCAAAGCAGAGAGCGTGAAAGAGATCAGTACCAGTGACGTCCCGAGCCACGGGTCAGGATGGGACTGGGACAAGTACAGAAGGCCTTTTCTACTCCCCAGGAGGAGAGCAAGCAGGGACTGTAACTGAAGAGTAGAAGGGAGTCCAAAATAACCTTGGGACATCCAAAGAAGGTGCTGGTTGAGGGAGAGACAGGGAGATAGAGGGGAAGAAGAAGGAAGAGCATCCCAAGGAGCTTGGAGGGCACTTCGGGGCTCTCTCTGTGTTGAGGTTAGGCACACATGTGAGCGAAGCCAGCAGAGAGAATGTTAGGAACCCTAGGGACAGAAGATGGGATGAGGTGGGAAGAGCTGGGAAAAGCTTGGTCTGATGTGTCACTGTGGTCCCGGTTCTTGCTCACCTGAAGAGCCCTCAGGCAAGATGGAAGGTCTGCGCAGGCCCTGCCGGCTCCAGCCCTTGTGCTTGTTGGCCCCCTCACTAGGAGCCACAGCCTGTCCACTGCTGTCCCCTGGTGGCCTCCCTGAGTCCCGCCTGTGGGGCCAGCTGGACGCCTTCTCCAGGTGCAGATGGCTGGGTTTTTCTGGCTGCCTTGCTTGGCCCACAGGTGACCTCCCTGGGCCACTGGCTCCTTGCTGAGGGGTTGTCCTTCTCAAAGGTTCTCTCGCAGGGGCCTCAGGGTGTTCTGAGACCCCTGCTTCATCCTTAGAGGTGGGTCCCTGGAGCTCCGGAGTCCAGGGAGTGGTAGGGGAAGAGGGGCATAGGAAGTTTGTCATGTTGCTGAAAGCCATGCCAGGGGACACTTCGCTCTTACTCCTGCTGGTGGAAGTGAAAGACTCTGTTGATCTAGCTGTGGCCGGGGGCCAGGAGGTGCGTCCAGCAGAGGCAGGGAGGGGGACTGTCCAGTCTTGACAAGCAGGTCTTGTTTTGGCATGACCCCCTGAGTTCATATGTCCTCCCCGAGTGCTCCTGCTCCTCCCCCTGGACTTTGGGGGCAATGGGGGTGGTTCGGTGGGAGGGTCTATGATGGGTAGTGGGGGTAGAGGCCTGTAGATCCTTGAGCTACCAGGAGCAGAAATGGGAGGAAGGTGGGGCTGCGGCAAATCAGGGGTAGGGGGTAGCGGCTTGTTGTATCTCCACCTGGGGGTGGCCTGAGCATGGTGGGAGCTGTCTGGGGTAGATGGCAGAGGTCGGTGCTGCCTGGCCACAGCGGGGTCAGAGGCTTGGGGAAGTGGGCCTTTATGGGGGGCATGCAGCCCTGAACCTAGGGCCAATGGAGGAGGGTGGCTATGCTGCTTCAGCGTGGGAACCACTACACGAGCATGGCCATCTGTCTCCACCACGGAGGGATGGGTGTCCCTCCTCTGTGGGGGAGGAGGGGGCAGAGGTTCGTGGATCCTCACATCCTCCATGGAGACAAAGGATGGGGAAGAACCGTAGGCGGGAGACTCTGTGGCAAAGGCTGGATTATGTGGGGAGACCCAGGGCTGGATGCTGGGAGGACTGCTGGGTCTCTCTAGATTTGAGATGGATTCTTGAGAGTCCTGCTTCAGCGTGGATAAGGCAGTAGGGGATGCTGAAACGGTGCTGTAGTCCCTACCACTCCTTCTGTCCCTTCTTGGGGTCACAGAGCTGTAGATGGCAGGTTTGGGGGGCCTCTGGGGCAGCTCTGAGTGGGAGTAGGAAAGCAACATTCCCACCAGGTCTGGAGTCTGCTCTGTCCTGTGAGAACCAGGGAAGGAGTCACTCCGTAAGTGCTGGACGGTGCCTGTGGAGTTGGCTGGGGGCCTCGGAGGGCTGGTCCCGGTGGAGGGGAAGCCATAGAGGGCAGCCGGGCACATCTCAGAAGTCCCACAGGGAGATGGGTCATCCATTGAGAGAGGGGCACTGGCAGTTTCTGGAGCACGTGCAGCACAAGAGGTTTCCCTCCTGGGAAAGGCAACTGGGGGCCTGGCAGATACCGAGGCAGGTGTGATGGGGTAGGCTTCAGCAGGACTGGGAGGAGCTGAATCTGGTGTCCTTGGAGGAGTCACAGATGCACTGGCAAAGACCACCTCAGTCCCTTGGCTGGACACTGTTCCCTTCCTCAGCCTGGATTCCTCTTGCTGGCTGTTTTGATCTATTTCCTTGTCAGGTGACTCCTCAGTCAAAAAGGAGCCCAGTAGAGAAATGGGCTGGTGAGAGCACCTGATGGGCTCTAGCGAGGGAGACAGAGCTGCGGGGGACAGTTCCTCAGCCCTGGACTCTGTCTGAGTCCCGGGAATCTGAGTCATGAGATATGAGGCACCTGGAAACAGGTCACAGTGAGGAGAGTCCTCAGGGGCTATCAGAGCGGGCATTGAAGGCCCATGATGCTCATTCTCCTCTTCCCTGCTCCTCGCTCTTCCCACTGCCCCCAGCCTGCCCCCATCCCAACTCTCTGGCTCTTTCGCCTCCTGCCCGCTGACTGGCACCCCTTTCTCCTTTATACCATGATCTTCTTGCTTTCCAGTTACTTCCTCTGATTTTCCCAAAAAGGTTTGACTCTTTTCGTCCTGAGAGTCCGCCCTATTCTCTTCTGGCACCTGCAGCTCCCTCTTCCTCTCTTCTCCCTGTTCTGGACCTCCCTGACCCTGAGCCTTCCTCTCCATATCCTCCTGCTCCCACTCACCGTCATTCAGACCCTCTGGCTCCCCAGTGAGCCCCATTCTTTCTCCTTGTCTCCCAAGCATCACATCTTGTACCTGTTCCTGTTTTTGCTTCTGTTCTCCCTTTTCATCATTAACCTGCTCTATCATCTGTTCCTCCCCTAATAGCCCATCGGCACAAACATCCTCCCTCAGAGTTCCTTCCCCCCGAAATCCTGCTTCCTGCTGTCCCTGCTCCTCCAGAACTTGGACCTCCTGGGGATGCAAGAGCCCTTGACTTTCCTGCAGCTCCTCAGGTGGCAGCTCTTCCCCCTGCCTGATAGTCCCACTTTCAGAGCCTTCATTCTGGTTGGTCTCTGCAGGATGCTCTTCGCAGGGAGAATAATATCTGGTCTGACCAGAGTTATCTGAAGAGGTTTCCTCTTCTTCTTCTGCCTGTCCAGATCCCAATGTCAAAGAAGTAAGTCCTGGCCAAAATTCCACCTCCTCTTCTTCGCTTCCCAGGTCACTGGAAAATGGGGCCATGTCTAGATGCTCACTCTGAATGGGGCAGGCCCAGAGCTCTGGGGGAGCTAGAGTCCTTGCTTGTCGGCCTGCTAGGCTCTGGGGTACTGCCTCCCAGTGTTCCGGAGTGTCACAGGCCTCAGCCACAAGGCTTTCCTGATTGGGCTCCACATCTGCAGAACCTTCCTTGGGAAAAGAGGGCATCGTCTCAATCGCATAGTCACACACATCCCTTAACTCACTCTGCTGAGTTGCTGAGAGTCTGTGTTCCTCTCTCCACTTATAGGATGGGTCCTCATCTTCTTGAGCTTCAAGCCCCAAGGCAGAGACCTGGCTGCTCCTCATGGGAGCCTCAGGGATAATGCTGAATTCCTCTATGGCAGAGATGGGAGGAGAGGCTCCACGCTGGGCCTCCTCAGCCTCCATCAGGGCTGAATCCTAAGGAGGAATCAAAGACAAATGTTTCTAACAACTCTGCTTTTACCTATCAGAGGAAGAGACCATAAAAAAGAAGAGTGATGCATTTATTTGGTTCCATTTAGGGTCATTCTTTGAGACAACAGGTTCTCAACAAAATAAGCAATAGCCTCTAAAAAACTTGTCATTGATGTATTTATTTCATAAATATTTTCCTAGCGACCCTGTTAAGTGTGGGGCATTCAGTAGTGAATGAGATAAAGATCTTGTCGTCATGGAGACTGTGGTCTTGTGAGGGAAACAGGTCATAATGAACAATTAAATTATAGCAGAGGACCATTGTCAGAGAGTGCCCAGAAGCTCCCAGTTGTCAGTTCTCTCTAGACTCCATTATGTCATCTTCTGTCTCTCCCTGTCTACTCTTCGGACACTAGGAGTGACTCATCCTCATATAACCCCCAGACACAGCAAGGGACACACCTCAGATCTATTAGGCCAGAGAAGCAGTGTCAGGAGAGGGTCTTCCTCTTAAGCTGTGGACATCAGTTAAAATAGGCCAGGCTATGATAGCCAATGTGTGAGGTGCTATGGTTTCATCTTCTTTACAGAGGGTTTGGAGTTTACTCATCTTTCTGTTTTCCATAGTGTCTACTACAGCATTGTAACTAACAGTTTTGTTTCCAATTCTAGAGGCAGCTGTTGTAAAGTGGGATGATAACAGCCTTATTGGATTAGTGTTGAACTAGACACATTACCACCTTGAAGGAAGACCACAGAAGGGTGCTTTCTGCATCACCTTACTCTCCCCTTGGCCTCAGTATCCATATGAACTCTTCTCATTAATTCTTTTGACCTTCCTGTCTTTTGATTTCGACCTTCCTGCCTTTCTTCTCACTTCCAGCAGAACACCTCATCTCCTATTTTGCAAAGAAAATAGAAACTGATGGAACTGGGTTTCTCTCACCTCAATTTCTTGCGATCCAAAGCAACCTGTATTTCCACTCTTTCTATCTTCCGCCCTCAGTCAGGAAAAGACGTATCCCTCCTTTCCATGCTCTGTCATTTCTTGCCTGCTTCCCCAGGAACACTGTGCACTCATACCTTCAACATCCCTGCTGAACAACCCCTGGGGTATGGAAGCATTCCCACATTCTTCTCATCTTTCAAATGACTAGAAGGAGTTGCTCTTATCTGCTGTCTTCATACTCTCACATCCCACCTGCCTCCAACTGAGCTTTGATAGCGGCATTCTGCCAATATTCCCTACAATCGACATGTTGTTAATTCCAAAGAAGACCTTATGGATCTTCATTTTGGGTGGTTCTTGTCAGTATTTGACAGTACTGAGGTTAGAAATACTCTCTTGTTACTTGTGGTATTACATTTTCCTGGTTTTACCCCTTCAGTTTCCTCCAGTCTTTTTTTTTTTTTCTTTTCTTTTTTTTTTTTTTTGAGATGGAGTCTTGCTCTGTCACCCAGGCTGGAGTGCCGTGGTGCAATCTTGGGTCATTGCAACCTCCATCTCCGGGTTCAAGCCATTCTCCTGCCTCAGCCTCCCGAGTAGCTGGGACTATAGGTGTGTGCCACCACACCCAGCTAATTTTTGTACTTTTAGTAGAGACGGGGTTTCACCATTCTGGCCAGGATGGTCTCAATCTCCTGACCTCGTTATCCACCCGCCTCGGCCTCCCGAAGTGTTGTGATTATAGGCGTAAGCCACCACACCTGGCCTCCCCTGATCTTTTAACTAGGTTAAATTGTACCCCTCTTTGTAGCACTTACCAACTATAATTCTCTTTACTTTTCCTTTGTAGCATTTATACAATTATAATTATATAATGATGTGTGTATTTTGAGTTACCCTCTATTGCAACCAATAGATAGTAAAATTTATGAGATTAAGAACTATGACTTGCTGAATTATCCATACTTAGCCTAATAGTGGCCTATACTCAGTGTTTAATAAATATTTTTCACATAAAGAATAAAATTCAGGTCAGAATAAAATGTGATCCTTTTACTTCAATGGAATATGCCCACCTTTTCCTAAAATCATGATTAACAGTTTACACAGAACTTTAAACATTTAGAGCTCTATACACAACAAATTAATTTTTCTTATTTTTCATTCTGAAACACTAAGGTTTTCCTGCATACATGTCATTAAAAATAATGAAATGCTTCTTTAAATATGTATGTGCCATACATCTAAGAGTCATCGTATAAGATGGGTACCATTATTCTGCCCATTTTACAGATGAAAAACTGAGTTTCCCAATGCACTTTATGTATATAATCCTGACACTCTGGGAGGCTGAGGCAGGTTGATTGCTTGAATCTAGGAGTTTGAGACCAGCCTGGACAACCTGGTGAAACCCTGTCTCCACAAAAAATACAAAAATTAGTGGAGCATGGTGGCACGTGCCTGTAGTTCCAGCTACTCGGGAGGCTGAGGCAGGAGAGGGATCCTGGGAGGATCCCTTGAGCCCAGGAGGCAGAGGCTGCAGTGAGCCAAGATCACATCACTGCTCTCCAGCCTAGGTGACAGAGTGAGACTCTGTCTCTAAATAAATAAATTAATTAATTAAAATAAAATAAAATTCTTGTTTCCCTCCTGGCCCAGATTCCCCATATCTAATCAATCACCATGTGCTATTGACCTCGTCTGCTAAATATCCCTTAAGACTGTCCACTTCTATCCCATCCCTCTCCACTGGTGCATGCTGCTACCGTCTCGCCCGGGCCACTGCACCCGGCCACAGCTTGGGCACTGGCCTCCACCCATTTCACGCTATTCCAGTCCTTTCTCCATACAGCACCTAAGTGAGCTTCAAAAGCACCAGTTCTAGCTTAGATTCTTCAGCAGCCTCTGAATGCTCTTGAGATGAAATCTAAATCTTCAGCATGGGTTATACTCCCTGCACAACCTGGCTCTGCCTTCTTCTCTAGCAGCCTATTCACCTGTCACCATCTGTCCCTGCCCCCATCCCCCCCCTCTCCCACTGGCTTTCAGTGTCTTTAGCTCACTTCTCTCTGTGTCTCTCACCTGTAGGCCTTTGTAGACACTGCTCCTCTGCCTGGAATCCTCTTTTGCAACAGAGAATCCTTTGCTTCTCCTCAAACACACCTTGCACTTGTCATGTCATATTTAATGTCTATTTTCCAGGCTAGATTATGAGCACCATGAAGGGACAAACACTGCCATATAACCCCCTCTGCCTGAAGCCTAGTTGGCCCTCAACAAAGATGTATCGTATGAATGAATGACGGAAGAATATAGAGTTAGAAGAGTGTGGATCAGTGTTTGGTTGTGCCTCTCTGGTATCTTTGCTGGTTTTAAGACAATTGTAGAAACCATTAAATTTATTTGAACATCCATTTTCTTATCTTTAAAAAGGAGATAAAAGGATTCCTTCACAGTTCTAGTAAAGATTAAATAAGGTAACATAAAAATGTACACTGCTATCTTTAAGGGTCATAGAAATGGTGGCTGTGGTAAATACTGTTGACCTGAGAGACAGAGAATAAGTGTAAGAGAGAAACACAGGATTCATAAAGCCGGAAGGACCTTCAGAGACACACAGAAACTGCTCAATTTACAGATGAAGAAACTAAAGGTCAAAGACCCTAGACCCTTGCTCAAATCTCCTAAGCAAATGGTATGGGCAAACCTGAAGCAAAGTCGCTTGACTTAAGTCTCCTGTAAGCACTTAGAGGTCCTACTGAAAGAAAGCTGGCAGGCCATCAGTCCAGAGAAGACCCCAGAATTCTATGGACCCAATGCTGCACCTGACCGTGCACCTTTCTTGTCTGGTCCAGGCTTAAACTGAAAACTCACCTGCTCAGAATACTGTCCTGCTTAGCCACTGTGTGTGTACACACACACACACACACACACACACACACACACACACACACACTGAGCCATCCTTACAAACTCTTGCAATAGAGCCTGACATAACCAAACAGGCAGGTCCCTAGCACACTGCAGAGTAGTATGTGACAAGATTCTGGCCATCCCAGAGACAGAGATACCATCTATATGGGGCAAAGAGATATGTCTGACATAATTGTACACAGGCAGAAGGACTTTTATGTCCTTTTCCAGTTAACTGACACCATATGCGATTGGCTCCCTATGTCTAGCCCTTAAGTACAAAATACTATAATCCCTATGGGTGATTCTGTGATGTGGCCCTGTTCTCTCAACCACACATCGAATAATATACTTGCTTACTTTAAGACACTTTCTGAAACTTGGCCTAAGGAGACCATGGGACTAAACCTGTAGTCTCTCCTCACTTACATCTGCATGGTTCAGGCCCTCTCCTCCATATACACCATCACGTCTTCAAAACAAGTAGCCTCTAAATAAAAGTGTGTTTCTGCCATATCTAGGGTATATCTATAAATACCATGTGCTACCTGGACATTTTCTGTTCCAATCTAGTGGCACAGTGCATGCCTGCCTCTGCAAGCCCATTGACACCGTTTCTAACTGTCTTTTTTCATTTGGAAATATCAGTGGTCACCTGCTCAGCCACCAGTTACCGCAAAGGGAGAACATACCCCACGTTCCCTATACTTGATCCTATCTCAGTGATCCCGTTGCAATCAGGCATGACAAAGCTAAAATGTGACAAAGTGAAAGGAAATCTGTAAATCATGGTCTTACTCACGTAAAGGCATCAGGAGAGAGTTTTTTGCAATGCTCATTACGTTAGAGTGCAAACATCCTCATCTCCTTCTCCACTGAGGGTGAATAATCACTGTTTATCTGTGTACAGGCAAAGCCAGGGCATGGGATTATGGGGATACGGCCTTGCTTCAGACCACAGACATTCTGCATCCACATAACCTCACCCACGTGTGACTTCTTGAGAGGCAAAGCTTCAAGTCATCCCTTTAACATAATGTGTGACAGAGCTCACTATCTTCCCTAGAGCCCCCCCCAACACCTTAGCTCTTGTCTATTTCTAGTCACTAGAAACAACACTGTATTTCAAGGATACAACCCCTCCCCAATCAAACTGCCAAATCTTTGAACTGAGACTCAGTGCCATATATATATTTTTGAGGACCATGCTTCCTGGATTTTCTAGCAAGGTTGATTTCAAATATTCTGACTTACAAATCACTAAAATAATATTGAGGTTAAAATAAGATCACCACATAGATATATAACTTTATTCACTGTTTGACATCACTGCCCTCAATACTACAAAGATATCAAAACAGGGGTAGCTTTCTGGACCACTGACTACTACAGTGTGTGTTCTATCCATTGCAGGAAAGTCCCACCATGCCAGTGAAAGCTGTAATACACATTTATCTATTCTCTAATGTCTGAAAATGTCACACCAACTGCCTTATAGACCAGATAGTTTATATAAGAACATTATTAGTGTCAATGCTGACTTACACTCTACAATCTCATCTGTGGTCCTGGTGGCATACACACAGATAACATTAGTGTGAGTGACGTGTTTGTGTATTAACACAGACCTTGAGGGTGACTTTGTTCCAGTCTACCTTGCAGGCACTATAAGTGATCGGCTCCTGCTTACTCCACAGACACTGTGAGTGACCCAGCCCCTGTCTACACTAGAGCTGTTGGTCACCTGTTTGTCTACACCACTGACACTTGAGTAATGCTGCTCCCGTTGAACCCAAGACCCTACGAGTGACTCCATTCCTGTCCATACCACATAGCGACTGACCTCTCCAGACACCACAAATGACGTATTCCTGTCTATCCCACAGACACCACGTGTAACGTGGCCACGGAACCTCAGACAGACCGCGTTAAGGGCACTGATACACTCTCAGGACCTCTAATATATGAACACTCTTCTCTCTATTGAGAATCACTATATTCTGTTGATGAGAGGGATTCCTTTGCACTCCTCCTGATTTCTCTCTCCTCCCCACTAGGACCATGACATACATTCCTCCTGCATATCAGTCTCACCCAGAACTGACACGCCCTCATCCCATCTTCCCAGCTCCCCAGGACTCCTTCACTAGCCATGGCTTCACTTTTAGGCCCACAGATTGGTTAACAAATGACACCCATTTTGCTAAGGCCTATGCCAGGAACTTCTTCATGCTCCAAATGTGGATAAAACAAGACGTCTGAGACAGAGGCCACATCAAGAGCTTTTTAGCTGGAGCTGGGACCTCTGGATTAGGCCCAAGATGCAAGGCCAGACAGTGGAGTGCAGTAGGGGAGCAAGCTAGGGAGGAAGCTCGAAAGGAAAACCACCCTCTCTCATCTGTTTGACACACCCTTCTCTCTCAACCAGACAAGAGTCCTGGCCAGAGTTCACTTCTAGGTAGACAGGAGGGCAAATCTGTCTTTGGAACCCAAGATCCAGGAAGGGAAGAAAGGGACTGAGATCTGGAAATGACGTAGTATCACAACTGGCTCTCCTCCGGTAGTCTTGCCGGAAGGCAACTGCAAAAGATGCTCAGGGGTTCTAGAGCTCTGCGTCCGCATTCTAGCACCCCAACGCCTACCTCAGCCCCCAACTCTAAATAACTTCTTTCCACCTTGCTAAGAATGCAACGTTGTGATTCACATCAAGCTTTAGGAGGCTCCCCATATGTAGGGAACTGGGGTGAGGGGCAGGGCAGGATTCACTGTTCCAGGTTACGGAGCTTTGGTTAACACGGAGAGAAGCTACACATAGACTCACACAGTATGCAAATACCTATGGAGATACATAAGGAAAGGCCCCGGCCTGGTTAAGGAAAAGGAGCCGATAAAACCTCTCCAGGTAAGGAACAGCCTAGAAAGGGAATCTCAGTTATTCCTTCTGATATGGCTTAGCTTTCCCCAGGGCGCCTACTTTGAAGAAAGAGCCCTGATTATTGGCCCGGGGAACGTCTGGGGGCAGGGTGCCCATTTCCTAGGCGGGACCCGACCGGAAGCAAACTTGTAGGCAACAACATTTCCTCTAGTTCCTCTCCTCTTCCCCACCAGGGTCCTCAGCCACACACCCCGAGCCCTGCCTGCGGGCCCAGCCCCCCCATTTCCGGAGCCTGCGCCCCGGACCCAGCGGGGGCTGATCCCTGGGAAAGGCCTGGCTTCCTCTTCCTTCCTGTCCCTGCCCCACCTCCGCCGGGCTCCACAGCCGCCGGGAGCCCAGGGCCGAGACGGGAGGAGGGCACCCACCTGGTCGGTGTCACATGCTGCTTCGGCCCCAGCGTCCCCTCCAGGTCCCGGCGCCGGCCGCAGTCCCCAGAGCCGTCCCCAGCGCAGGCCCGGCCGCCCCACCCGCGGCCCGCCCCTGGCCGCCCGACGGGAGGGAGGGATCGGGTTCTCCTAGGAAGTTTCAGGTGAGGAAACAGGGACACACCTTCCCGGAGGAGGGGCAGGGCCCCTCCGCGCGCGAGCCCCATTGGTGTGAAAGAAGCTCCCGCGTCAGAGCTGGGAAGTGCCGGGCCGGCGGGGAGGGGAGCCCGGGCGCACGGGCCAGGCCGCGGGCTGTCCCAGGGAGCCCCGAGGGCGCGGTGCGCGGGCGCAGGTCGGGCGCAGGCGGGGTGACCCGGGGAAGGGGCGCGCACAGAGACAGAGGGAGCCAGCCGGGCCCCACGGTGTCCTCGGACGCCTCCGAAATCTCCCTGCGTGTTTGTTTCTTCGGAGCTTCACCGGAGCCTGACTCTGGAACCGGCCTGTCTGCCTGCTGCAGTCTGTATGTGTTTGTCTTTTGCCTTGGCCGTGCCTCTGGAAGTCTGACATCCGTGGTTGTACATGTGTCTTTATCTTCAGGCCTCATTGGTTTTTGGTTTGTTCGTTGTTGTTGTTGTTGTTGTTGATGTTGTTGTTGTTGTTGTTGTTGTTGTTGTTTCTGAGACGGAGTCTCGCCCTGTTGCCCAGGCTGGAGTGCAATGGCGCGATCTCGGCTCACTGCAACCTCCGTCTCCGGGTTCAAGAGATTCTCCTGCCTCAGCCTCCCGAGTAGCTGGGATTACAGGTCCGCGCCACCATGCCCGGCTAATTTTTGTATTTTTTAGTAGAGGCCGGGTTTCGCCATGTTGGCCAGGCTGGTCTGGAAACTCCTGACCTCAGGTGATGCACCCGCCTCGGCCTCCCAAAGTGCTGGGATTACAGGCGTGAGCCACCGCGCCCGGCCAAGGCCTCAGTGTTGATTTCTCTTCCGTGATGTCTCCTCCTATAGAATAAAGAGTGTCTCCTCCATCTCCTCCTCCGCCCCCTTCTTCGTTTCTCTCTCTCTCTCCCTCCCTCCTCCCCCCTCCCTGTCCCTCTCCCTGCCTCTTCCTCTCCCCTCTTCCTTCTCCTACTTAGGGCCTAGAAGTGTGCCTCTCTGAAAGGACATGCCCGTGTCCTTCTGTATTCCCGAGTTTATTTTAGAATGAGTGCGTATCTCAGGGTGTATGTTCCTTCTAGGGCCTGTGTGTGTGTGTGTGTGTGTGTGTGTGTGTGTGTATTTAAATCTCTAAGCCCATGTTTGTGTGTTTTCTTATGCCTGTATTTTTTTTTTTATTCTTTCAGGGAAACGTTGTGTTCTGTTAGTCTTGGAGGCCAAGGCTGAGTGGGTTTATCTCTGTGCCCCTCCAGTGACTTCAAAGAATGCCAAAAGTCTCTCGAGTGTGCCTGTGTGCACACACAGACACACACAAAGTAGGAATCCTTTACCTGGGGGACAGAGATTTCTGTTATTTTTGGTTGAATCTGACCACTCCCCAAAGCCATTCACTACTCCAGGGGTTTCCATGGTGACATAAGTCAAGTGAAATATTAATGGACTCCTTGCCTATTTTGCTCTTAGGAATGCCATGGTCTACAGCCCAAACAGCTTGGCTAGACCATTTCCAGATCACTGTGCCCATTGGCTGTTGCCAATGATCCTGGTTGAACGTGTTCACTAGTTATTTTGAGGTGGCTGTAGAATAGAATGTAATTAAGGAAGTATAGCCTCTTCTGTAATAGAGTCCTGAACAGCTTTATGTTAAAAAAGTGTGCTACTTCTGCCATGTTACTCTGAAGGATTAAGTCTTAAACAGTTCAGCAGTTTTCAGCCTACTCTAAGCTGCCATGGAGTGTATGGGAAACTATAGGAAAAATTGGGATTAAGACTCAAAAATCTGGATTAAGAAGGGCAGGCCTTGCATGTGTCCTAGGCTCAGCAAAAGGGTAAGAACTGGGAGTACAGAAAGGCAAAAAGTTCAAACTGGGACTGGCTCTACTTCTAGGCTGGAATACAAAACTCATTCCCAGGTATGAGAGGGTCCTTGATTTATACCGAGTGAGCAAAGTGAGTAAACTTCTGATCTAGGGCAGAAGCTGTTGACCTCTGGGTCGGGTGCGGTGACTCACAACTGTAATCCCAGCACATTGGGAGGCCTTGGCCGGTGGATCACCTGAGTTCAGGAATTTGAGGCCAGCCTGGCCAAACATGGCGAAACCCCTTCTCTACTGAAAATACAAAAATTAGCTGGGCTTGGTGGTGGGCACGTATTCCCAGCTACTTGGGAGGCTGAGGCAGGAGAATTGCTTGAACCCAGGAGGCAGAGGCTGCAGTGAGCTGAGATTGCACCACTGCACTCCAGCCTGGGTGACAGAGTGAGACTCTGTCTAAAAAATACAAAAAAAAAAAAAATTGTTGACCTCTGGCATATTTCATGCTGCCTACTGGGGGTGGGCAATGGGGTCAGAGGTACCAGAACTGCCTCCTGAACCAGCCTGGCTATTCTTTCTGCTTCCCTCCAGCTTCAGTTGGTTCTCCTTGATTACAGCGCTCTCTCTCTCTCTCTCTCTCTCTCTCTCTCTTTTCTCATCAACTCGACCTCCTCTTGTTCTGCCAGCTCTGACTTGTCAGCATATTTTTTTTTGAAGTCACAACCCTGGATTCTTGTGCGCTTGTCCAGAGAGTTAGCACACAAGGCTTTTCCTGACTTTTCAACTAGTAGGAAAGTTACAACCGACCATTTAGGGAGTTTGCTCTTCCCATCAAGACTGTTCCTGTCTGCAGGGTGTATTTGCATGTGGAGGTCACTCTAGCTCTCCCAGGTATTCTTCCTTTCACTTTGCAGACTATGGTTCTCAGCATTTTATTATTTTTTTTCTTTTTCATTTCTTACTGCGTGGTCTTGGTGACTGGGTTTCTTAATCAAGCCTGTCATCCCATCCTGAGATTTTGATATTTTATTTGGGCCTATATTTCCTCTATAAAGGCCTAGAGAGGAGAGAGAATGATGCCATGGAAAGAGAATGAGATTTAGATTCAGACAGGGGTAAATTTGAATCCTGCATTCCATTTACTTAATGTGAAATCTTGGGCATATTCACCTTCCTGTGCTTTCTCTGAATCTTCCTACGTTTCATTTCCCTAATGTCTTAATTGGGGATAATAATATGTAATGATACCTACGTCACTGGATTGTTGTGGTGATTCAATACTGTAATATATAGAAATCACCTTAGTATAAGTACCTGATGTGTAAAGGTGGCCAAGATGGGTTAGTTTCCTTTCCTAGCAGTGCCTGTCAGTGATGCATGTGGAATGAATATGTTTATAAGAACAAAGTGATAGGGGCTGGGAACAGTAAATAGATTCAAAATAAAGCTATTTTAAAATGAAAGCCCTATTAGACGAGGCTGAATAAAAATAGCTTCTAGAACTTGGGACTACTTTAATTGACAATAATGCCTTTAAGATCAAGTTATGGGGCTTGGGGAGAGGCAGGGAACAATCTTGTATAGTTCTAGGTATCAGGACTAAAGGAATGACAATGACCTTTTTTGAAGCAGGAACTCATCAGCATTATCCCTAGGGCTGTCATTGTCCTGACTAGATACTGTCATGGTGCCACCATCCCACATGACTGGCTGCATTGTTCCCACGTGGTGAACTCTCTCTGACTCTCAGCTGGTCCAGTGCTAGTTCTTGGAACACTCCTAAGGCCTTTCTGCCTCTGCTTTTTGCCTGATCCTGTGACCCAACATTGAACCTTTCGAACTGATTTTGAACTCAGTTCTTCTTTTTTTTGAGATGGAGTCTCGCTCTGTCGCCAGGCTGGAGTGCAATGGCGTGATCTCGGCTCATGGCTACCTCTGCCTCCTGGGTTCAAGCGTTTCTCCTGCCTCAGCCTCCTGAGTAGCTGGGATGACAGGCATGTGCTGCCACACCCGGCTAATTTTTGTATGTTTAGTAGAGATGGGGTTTCACCATATTGGTCAGGCTGGTCTCGAACTCCTGACCTCATGATCTGCCTGCCTCGGCCTCCCAAAGTGCTGGGATTATAGGCATGAGCCACCGTTCCTGGCCCCAGTTCTTCTGTTAATGGGGCTGACCGTGGTCTCTCCATTCATCTCTGTTGAAGCCAGGCTGGCTTGACCACTGTGGTTCTTAGCTATCTTCTTCTATTCTGTTTTTTTGTTTTATTTTATTTTATTTTATTTTTCAGAGATGGAGTCTTGCTCTGTCCAGCCCAGGCTGGAGTGCAGTGGCACGATCTAGGCTCACTGCAACCTCTGCCTCCTAGGTTCAAGTGATTCTCTTGCCTCAGCCTCCCCAGTAGCTGGGATTACAGGTGCGCACCACCAAGCCTGGCTAATTTTGTGTTTTTAGTAGAGATGGGGTTTCACTATGTTGGCCAGGCTCATCTCAAACTATTGACCCCAAGTGATTGGGATTACAGGCGTGAGCCACTGCGCCCAGCCTATCCTCTTCTATTCTGATGAGCATGGTTTTATTTTCTATCCTTGGCTTCCCCTTATTTATTTTCTCAACCTTTACACATTGATTGGCATAGGCCTAAATTTAATGCCATTCAAGGCATACATACTAATTGCCTCATTCATTTTTTCTTCTATTCATTTACTCAGTATGCATTCTTAGAAACCAGATATACAAAGACAAGATCTCTGCTTTCAAGAAGCTCTCAATCTGATTGAGGAGAGAAACAGGTAGCAAATAATGGCAGCAGAGCATGGTAAGTGTTATGTTGAGATGGACACAAAGTACAATGGAAGCATAAAGGAGAGAGTAGGTGGCACTCCTTGGGGAATCAGAGAAGCCTGAATGGATAAGGTGGATTATATATATTTTTTTCTTTTTGAGATAGGGTCTCACTGTGTCACCTAGGCTGGAGTGTAGTGGCGCAATCATGGCTCACTGTAGCCTCAAACTCCTGGGTTTAGGTGATCCTCCCACCTCAGCCTCCTGGGGCTGGAACTAGAGATGTGTACCACCATGCACACCTGGCTAATTTTTGGTATATTTTTGTAAAGACAGAGTTTTGTCATGTTACCCAGGCTGGTCTCGAACTCCTTGACTCAAGCAATTCACTCACCTTGGCCTCCCAAAGTGCTGGGATTACAGGTGTGAGCCAACGTGCCCGGCGAAGGTGAGATTTGAGTTGACTTGTCTTTTAAAAATATTCTGTTACTGGCCGGCATGGTGGCTCATGCCTTTAATCCCAGCATTTTGGGAGGCCGAGGCGGGGGATCACGAGGCCAGGAGATTGAGACCATCCTGGCTAACATGGTGAAACCCCGTCTCTACTAAAAATACAAAAAAAATTAGCCGGGCTTGGGAGACTGAGGCAGGAGAATGGCGTGAACCTGGGAGGCAGAGCTTGCAGTGAGCCGAGATCGCACCACTGCACTCCAGCCTGGGCGACAGAGCGAGAATCTGTCTCAAAAAAAAAAAAAAAAAAAAATTCTGTTAACCTGGTATAGAGGAGGATATAGGAAAAGCATACCAATAGCAGAAGTGAAATATGCAAAAATACAAGCCTGAGCACCCTCTGTTCAGGGATGTGCAAATAGTGTGGGTTTAACATGAGATGTGGTGAAGAAATGGCAGAGAATGAAGTTGGAAGGGTAGTCGGGCAGCCAAATCATGAAAGGCCTTGTAGGCCATTCCTGCTACTGAGTTTGGACTTCATCCTTCTGGGGATAGGCCTCCTTGGAAGGGTTTCAAGCAAGGTCATGATGAGATCAGATTCTAAGGTTAGATTTAGAAAAAAAAGCTCTGGGGGCAGTTGAGAGAATGGACTGGTGTGGATAGTGAAGTGGAGGGGCAAGGAAGGCAATCAGCTGTTGTAGCAATTAGATGGATATTGTAGTCATGGAGGTAAGAAAAGAAGACACCTTGAACGAATGCAGGGGCAATGGGAAAATAAGACAGGGAATGGATTTTAGTATTGTGCTGACTGTTTTTTTATTTATTTATTTATTTATTTTTTTTATTTTTTTTTTTTAGACGGAGTCTCACTCTGTCACCCAGGCTGGAGTGCAGTGGCGGGATCTCGGCTCACTGCAAGCTCCGCCTCCCGGGTTCACGCCATTCTCCTGCCTCAGCCTCCCAAGTAGCTGGGACTACAGGCGCCCACCACTACGCCCGGCTAATTTTTTTGTATTTTTAGTAGAGACGGGGTTTCACCGTTTTAGCCGGGATGGTCTCGATCTCCTGACCTCGTGATCCGCCCGCCTCGGCCTCCCAAAGTGCTGGGATTACAGGCGTGAGCCACCGCGCCCGGCCGTGCTGACTGTTTTTTGAAGATAAAATGATCAAGTCAGATTTGAAGAATTGACTGTTGGAGGTGAATAAAATGATGTCCTCTCTGAGTACTTCTCTGTTTGTGAGAGGACTCCTTGAGGAGTTCTGCTCTTGATTTTGCAGGGGCTGCCTCTAGAGCTCTGTGTTTTATTTGCAGAAAGAAGCTCAACTATTAATACTTTGCTGCTTGCTTTGAACTTGCATTTCACAGCCTGGCCCTTTTTTTTCTCAATGTTGCTACTTTGCTTTCAAGATGTAGAGGCCTATTGGCCAGATAGACACATCAAAGAGCCTTGCCTAGGAGTTTAGTCACAGCTGTCATCATTTGTGTCCAGGAGCCATGGGCTTCAGCTTGCCTGGTTTGATCGGCACTACCTGTTTTTCTTTTTTTTAATCAGTAGTGGTAAGAGTGGTAAGATGGGTGGTTCTGGGAAGGGTTACTGAGGAAATGGTCTGTTTTGCTTGTAAAAAGAATGTTTCTATTAACTCAGACATTTAGAAACTCACTTATTCTCAGAGATATTAAGTCATGGGTGTAGGAAAAGGATGGGAGTTTAAGAAGTGAAAGAGACCACCTCGACCTGAATGAATGAATGAATTGTGAATTTTTAATAATTCACAGTTGTGTTCACTTGTGAATTATTAATAATGTATATAACAACTAAGTGTGCGGAGGGTCTCAACGTATAGTTTGTGGATGTGCGGGTGATCCGGCTGTGACATCTGCCACACCATAGATCAAAGTGTAGTTTGTGGTACACCTGCATTGGAGTCTCCAATTCGCTTTGTGAGTCATTCTTTTTTTTTGAGATGGAGTCTTACTCTGTTGCCCAGGCTGGAGTGCAGTGGCATGATCTTGGCTCACTACAACCTCCGCCTCCCAGGTTCAGGCAGTTCTCTGCCTCAGCCTCCTAAGTAGCTGGGGTTGCAGGCGCCCGCCACTACGCCTGGCTAATGTTTTTGTATTTTTAGTAGAGATGGGGTTTCACCATACTGGCCAGGCTGGTCTTGAACTCCTGACCTCGTGAACCACACACCTCAGCCTCCCACGGGTCATTCTTAAGCACAGTAAAGCTTAGGACTCAGGGTGTTCCAGCTTGTATAGAAGGAAGAAGTACAGTGGACTGCAATGCCTGCTTTAAGGATATTAGGGAAACAAGAAAAGAAACTTTTGTGCCAGGCCACTGGGTATAAAGTTTTATGACCCGAGGATGGAAGGAAATTAGAAACAGGGATTGTAAGGCCAACAGGGAGAAAAGCAGAGCAAGTATTCAACAATTTCGTTAGACAGTACATGTAATCAGTTGTAGTTTAACACTGGACATGCATGTGTGATGTAATTTTTGAAGTTATGAAAGTGTAAGCAATCTTTTGTTCCGAGTTTACCCCTGGATGCTGTGGGCAATGAGGGATGAGCCTGGTGCAATGAAGAAGTAAATTGCTGCACAGCATGGTGCCTCAGGCCTGGAGCTCTTCACATCCTTTAGAGCTGGATTAAGAGATGCTGTGTTAGCTCCAGCAAAGGTCACTAGGAGTCTTTGGGTTAAATTTTTTTTTTTTTAATCCACAAATTCTTGTAGTTCACTGAACTTCTTTAAGAGGAGGAAAGCCCAACTTGGGGTCGATAAATGGTATAGTAAATATTTGTTCAAGTTCTAAAATGGACTATCATTTTAAAGAGTTGATTAGCAAAGTTGAAAATACCTGATATTCTCTATGGTTTGTATCTGTGGGAGATGTTTGGTGGAATGGTCAGGAGGAAGAGATGGAAAGAGTGCCATTGCCTTAAAAAAAAAGAACAGCCCTGGCCGGGTGTGGTGGCTCACGCCTGTAATCCCAGCACTTCGGGAGGTCGAGGTGGGCAGATCACCTGAGGTCAGGAGTTCAAGACCAGCCTGGCCAACATGGCGAAACCCTGTCTCTACTAAAAAAAATACAAAAATTAGCCAGGCTCAGTGGCTTGCACCTGTAATCCCAGCTACTCGGGAGACTGAGACAGGAGAATCGCTTGAACCCAGGAGGTGGAGATTGCAATGAGCCGAGATTGCACCACTGCACTCCAGCCTGGGCAACAAAGCAAGACTCCATCTCAAAAAAAAAAAAAAAAAAAAAAAGAATAGCCTCTTACCAGCTCTGCTGGGTTCTAAAAGATGAATAGGTTGCCTACCCTGATGTCAAGGAGCTCACAGTGTAATGGATGTGACAGATGAACAACAGTGTTGAAGTGCAGTGCACTTTATGCTAGAGGTGCCATGGGAGTTTGGAGGAGGAAAAGATTATCTTGTCGGTGAGTTTATAAACCAATGCCAAAGTGATGATGCCTCTGTGTGATGCTTGTAGGTCAGCAGTTACACCATCACTCTTCCTAAGTCTCTAGACTAGAGGCTCATATTTTTCGAATCTCCTGTACAAAGACATTTTTAACTTGAGTGCATATATCATAGAAAAATATGTATACTTCCAAATCTCATTCAGTTGAACATTTCCAAAACGTCTGGTACATAATGTCTGAGAATGCCCAGGTCCTCCTGGAGGCTGGTTATAGCTATGGTGAGGTGTTGCAGTCATGAAGAGGGAGTGGGTCCTTGCCTGCCTGCCCTACAGTGAGCAATCCCTAGAAGCGCTGTTATTCAGGTTGTCTTGCTTTTTGTCTTTTGAAATGTTTGGATTTGGGATGTTTTGGAAATTTCCCCATCCAAAATTTTTGGAAGATAGGGATGGGGATGGGAATGATCCCTGTTCCTTATTTTTTATTTTTATTTTTTTGATACAGGGTCTCGCTTTGTTGCCTAGACTGGAGTGCAGTGGTGCTATCATGGCTTACTGCAGTCTCCACCTCCCAGGCTCAAGCAATCCTCCCACCTCAGCCTCCCGAGTAGCTGGGACTACAGGTGCACACCACCATGCCTGGCTAATTTTTGTATTGTTTTGTAGAGATGGGGGTCCCACTTTGTTGCCCAGGCTGGTCTCAAACTCCTGGGCTCAAATGATCCACCTGCCTCAACCTCCCAAAGTGCTGGCGAGATTACAGGCGTGAGCCACTGCACTCAGCCAATTCCTATTCTTTTGAAATGGAGTCTCGCTCTGTGGCCCAGGCTGGAGTGCAGTGGCATGATCTAGGCTCACTGCAAGCTCCACCTCCCGGGTTCATGCCATTCTCCTGCCTCAGCCTCCTGAGTAGCTGGGACTACAGGCGCCCGCCACCACGCCCGGCTAATTTTTTGTATTTTTAGTAGAGGCAGGGTTTCACCGTGTTGGCCAGGATAGTCTTGATCTCCTGACCTCATGATCCTCCCGCCTCAGCCTCCCAAAGTGCTGGGATTACAGGCGTGAGCCACCGCGCCCAGCCCAATTCCTGTTCTTAAAGAGACTATAACCAGTAAAGTTCATTTAGTGGAGTTCTGGCTCTACTGTATTTGTTACCAGAAAGAGGTTCTGGTCCCAACCCCAAGGGAGTGTTCACGGGCCTTGCACAAGAACGAATTTGGGGCAAGCCCGTAAAGGGAAAGCAAGTTTATTAAGAAAGCAAAGGAATAAAAGAATGGGCTGTTCGACTGAGTATACTTACAGTTATTTCTTCATTATATGCTAAACAATGGGTGGATTACTCATGAGTGTTCCAAGAAAGGTACAGGCAGTTCCCAGAACTGAGGGTTCCTCTCCACTTTAGACCCTATAGGGTCTAAAGTTCAGACACTGCCTGGCATTTTTAAGTTGTCATGGCACTGGTGGGAGTGTCTTTTCGCATGCTAATGAATTATGAGTAGCATATAATGAGCAGTAAGGATGACCAGAGAGGTCACTTTCATCACTGTTTTGGATTTGGTGGGTTTTGGCTGGTGTCTTTACTGTATCCTGTTTTATCAGCAAGGTCCTTGTGACTTGTATCTTGTGCCGACCCCTATCTCATCCTGTGACTAAGAACGCCTAACCTCCTGGGAATGTAGCCCCATAGGTCTCAGCTTTGTTTTATCAAGTCCCTATTTATGATGGAGTCACTGTGGTTTGAACACTTCTGACACAGTGGCTCCCAAACCTGGCAAATCAGCAAAATTTCCTTAAAATCCATCTGTCTATCAATCTATCTATCTATCTATCTATCTATCTATCTATCTATCTATCTATGAGACAGAGTCTTGCTATGTCGCTTAGGCTGGAGTGCAGTGGCGTGATCATAGCTCACTGCAGCCTTGAACTCCTGGGCTCAAGCCATCCTCTCACCTCAGCCTCCCTGGTAGCTGGGACTACAGGTACACACCACCATGTACAGCTAATTTTTAATTTGTTTGTAGAGATGGGGTCTCAGTACTCTCTATTTTCCCAGACTGATTTTGAACCCCTGGCCTCAAGGGATCCTCCTCCCTTGGCTTCCCTGGGTGCAGAGGTTACAGGCATGAGCCACTGGGCCTGACTGTTGTTTGTTTTTAAGATGATTATGATTAGGATGAGAAGCCAGGTTTAGGAATCCTGATAGAAAAGCAGTGGTTCTTTAGCAGAGGCTTCCATCATAATCATCTGATCAGCATTCTGAATTTGCCATTGCCCTAAACCCACGGAGTTTTAATTCTGTAGGTTTGGGGTCAAACAGAACTATTTGAAAATAGCTCCTTGCTGATTTGGATGCCTAATAATAGTGGAAACTCTCTGACCCACAGCAGTGATTTTTAAACATCTTTCATTCTACCTCCTGTCAATAAAAAAATTTTGAGCAGGCATTTCCCCAGTATATGCATGTTTTATTTATTTATGAATTATATATGTGTACTTCTGTATGATATGCAAACACAGATGTTTTAAAATAATGAGGTACAAATAAATGTCATTGAAAGCTCTAATATTTTTATCTCGTTCCCCCAGTGGATACACTGAGGATCCCATTGTGTAGAACATTGAGAGAAAGAACAGGGCCAGTGGTTCCATAATTGACCCCAACTCTTATTTAGCTGCTACTATCACGGGTAGCTGTCTGAAACAGAATCACTGGTTCCCACCCCAACCAAAGCACTCCTACTCCATTCCTTAATTTATGCAGTCATTCAACACATGTATAGGTTTAGCAGACCTAATCCCCAAATCTCAAATCCAAAATGCTCCAAATTGTGAAATATGATACTCAAAGGAAGTGTTCATTGGAACATTTGACATTTGGGATTTTTGGACTTGGGACGCTCAACTGGCTAAGTACCTGCAAATATTCCCAAATCCAAAGAAATCCAAAATCCAAAACACTTCTGGTCCCAAGCATTTCAGATAAGGGATACTCAACCCATATTGTGCAAAGCGTTGAATGAGGGGCTAGGGATATAGTTGTGCACATGGTCTTTGATCTCAAGGACCTAGGTTATGCCTGCATAAACATTAAACAAATGATTACTTAATAATAAATTACTATAATTTTGATGGATGCTAAAAAGTGTGAACTCAAAAGTACCTGAGACAAGTCTCAAAGAAAGTTTAGAAAGTTTATTTTGCCAGAGTTAAGGATATACCCATGACAGGGTTTCAGGAGGTTCCGATGACGTGCCCGAGGTGGTCAGGGTACAGCTTGCTTTTATACATTTTTGGGGAGACATAATACATCAATCAATACATGTAAGATTTACATTGGTTCAATCTGGAAGGGTGGGACAATTTGAGGGCGGGGGTAGGAGGGCTTGCAGGTCATAGGTAGATTTATAAATTTTCTGATTTGTAACTGGTCAAAATAATTATTATCAATAGGAATGTCTGGGATATGTTAAGGGGTTGTGGAGACCAAGGTTTTATCATGTAGATGAAGCTTCCAAGTGGCAGGTTTCAGAGAGAATAGATGGTAAATGTTTCTTTTTTTTTTTTTTTTTTTTGCCAGGTCATTCAACATTTATTCAACCAAAAATACTAAGTCAGCTCTATACAAACTAATGGAAGGATACAGCTATGCAAATATAGAACACTAAAGTGTTACATGACAGATGTATGAGGTAGGTATTATTTTCATGCGCGTCCGTGTGAAGAGACCACCAAACAGGCTTTGTGTGAGCAACATGGCTGTTTATTTCACCTGGGTGCAGGCGGGCTGAGTCCGAAAAGAGAGTCAGTGAAGGGAGATAAGGGTGGGACCGTTTTATAGGATTTGGGTAGGTAAAGGAAAATTACAGTCAAAGGGGGTTTGTTCTCTGGTGGGTAGGAGTGGGGGTCGCAAGGTGCTCAGTGGGCAGGAGTGGGGGTCGCAAGGTGCTCGGTGGGGGTGCTTTTGAGCCAGGATGAGCCAGGAAAAGGACTTTCACAAGGTAATGTCATCAGTTAAGGCAAGGACCGGCCATTTACACTTCTTTTGTGGTGGAATGTCATCAGTTAAGGTGGGGCAGGGCATATTCACTTCTTTTGTGATTCTTCAGTTACTTCAGGCCATCTGGGCCTATACCTGCAAGTCACAGGGGATGTGATGGCTTGGCTTGGGCTCAGAGGCCTGACATTCCTGCCTTCTTATATTAATAAGAAAAATGAAACAAAATAGTGTTGAAGTGTTGGGGTGGCAAAAATTTTTGGGGGGTGATATGGAGAGAGAATGGGCGATGTTTCTCAGGGCTGCTTCAAGCGGGATTAGGGGCGGCGTGGGAACCTAGATTGGGAGAGATTAAGATTTTAGTTTCCTGACTCCGGACGTGTTGAGTAAAGCTAATTTGCCAGTCCTGGGTGGGGGCAAATCCTCGAGCTTGCTGTGTAGGGAAGGAAGGGGGCCTGAATAATCCCTGAGGAATAGTAGAATAGCAGATGGAACACTGAGAAATTATTTCCTTGAGGATAGATTTCCATGATGGAAAGGAAATGAGAGGTTCTGAAAGGCGGGCTAGTGGCTTGTACTATAGCATAGCCTGCCTTTGCTGGTGTGTGGCGATTAGGCCTGGTGGAGCTGCCATCAGTAAATGAAGCGTGATCAGGGTGAGGAACAGGAAAGATATGGTAAATGTTTCTTATCAGGCCTTAGGTCTGTGTTGATGTTAGTGCCGGTCGGCTCTTCCTGAATTCCAAAAAAGAGGAGGGCATAATGAGGCATGTCTGACCCCCACTTCCATCACAGCCTGAAACAGTTTTTCAGCTTAACTTTGGAATGCCTTTGGCCTAGAGGAGGTGTCCTTTCAGATGGTTGGGAGGTCTCAGAATTTTGTCTTTGATTTCTGAAAGTATATATATATAAAACCTGAGAATGACCTCTTCTGGAGGGTTTGAGAAATCTGTAATTTGGAGGCAGGAGTGTCATTGAAGGAAAGCTAGAAAATTTCAGATCTGGAGGACAGAGGTGGAAATCCCATAGCACAAGATGAAACTGAAGATGTGAGCAGAGACCAGGGATCACGTGGGCCTAGTAGACCATGTTAAGGAATTTGATCTTTATTTTGAGGGCAAGGTAATCCATTGAAGGATCTAAGGGAGAGTGACAGGGCCAGATTTTCATCTCAAAAAGATCACTTAAAGGTGCAGCAAGTTGTATCAATTCTTTCCCTTCTTTCTCTTTTTGAGATAGGGTCTCATTCTGTCACCCAGGCTGGAGTGCAGTGATGTGATCATGGCTCACTTCTGCCTCAACCTCCTGGGCTAAAGCCATCCTTCTACCTTGGTCTCCCCAATAGCTGGGACTACAGGCATGCACCACCACACCTGGCTCATTTTTAATTTTTTTTGTAGACATGGGGTCTCACTATGTTGCACAGGCTGCTGTCAAACTCCAGGGCTCAAGTGATCCTCCCACCTCAGCCTCCCAAGGTGCTGGGATTGTAGGTATGAGCCACTGCACCCAGCCTATTCTCTCCTTTCTTATCTTTTGCTTGTATTTAGAAACCTTTGCTTTTACAGTTGCCCTCAGATTACACTCCCCTTTTCCCTACTTTCTATGAACTCTTACAAGTCCTCCAAGATCCATCTCTGTTGTTACCTTCTTGGTGAAGCCTTTTCTTATTCTCTCCTCCAAACATCCACACTCTTTAGAGCTAATGTATTTTATGTATGTATTTTTTAATTTATATGGTATACGTGCTGCTGAAGCGAGCACTAGAGCTAATCTCTATAAAGGCACTTTGTAGGTTTTATTGCAGTGTACCTATTTTGGTAAATTGGGGGAGGACAGTTGCAGAAAATAGAATTCCTTGAAATCTTCATGGCACGGTATCATTTGGTTTCTTTGGTTTGTTCAAGCTCCTGCCTTAGTTTACTTATTCCTTTCTTATTATAACGAATTCTGCACTGTTTGTATGTGTTTTTAATTTACATAAATGCTGTCTTTTATCGACTTTACACTTTTTACTTTTTAAAATTAGGACGAGTTTTAAACATCTACTCATTTTCCTTTGTGTATCTGTAGTCTTTTGCTTCTAACCAGTGCTTTTGTTCCACAGTCTGAATTCATCATATTTTACCTATTCTCACTTTCAGTGGTGGCCACCCAAATCCTTTCACCTTCCCTGTATCACAAACGATGCTGTAATGAGCAGCCTTGTATACATCCTTTACGGACCTGTGTGAGAATTTCTGTGGGATGTGAACATCCAAGATCAGAATTCTGGGGTTGGAAAGCGATGGTGTGCTTATTTAGCCAGATCCTGGCTGTTGCTCCCTCGAATGGCTGCACTGACTGTGTGTTCATCACAGTGCAAGAGTCTTTGTAGCCCCATGTCCCCAACAACACTGGGCATGTTTTGATCAGTTGAGTAGCTTCAAAGCGGTATTACACTGCTGTTTAATTTTCATTTCTCTGGTTACTAGTGGGTTGAGGATCTCAGTAAATTTGTTGTCATGTGATTATTCACATTGCCTATCATGCCTTTGTCTACTTTTCTGTTGAGTTACTCTCATTTTCCTGTTGCCTTGCAAAACTTTCTTGTATCCTTGCAAAACTTTCTTGTTGCCTTGCAAAAGCCTAGGTGGAAGGATGGCTTGAGCCAAGGAGGTTGAGGCTGCTGTGAGCCAGGATCATGTCACTGTACTCCAGCCTGGGTGACAGAATGAGACCCTATCTCAAAAAGAAAAAGAAAAAGAAGAGAAAGAGTAGATACAGTTTGCTGCACCCTTAGGTGATCTTTTTGAGTTGCAAATCTGGCCCTGTCACTTGTATAATCTCAATGTTAGTTATCTGTAAGTTTTAGATATTGAAAACATTGTCTCCTAGTAATCTGAACAGAAATGTGTAACAATTTTGCCACACATTAATTCTTCTATATTATCTTAACAGCTTTATTTTCCATCCTGAGTCTATTTTTTAGTCTAATGATATTGAGTAGATACTTAATTATGTCAGTCTATTATGTCAGTTTTTAAACTCCAATGTTCATCTTTTCTTGATTTATGCTACCAACTTTATTATGTATTACATTCTTATAAGTAGATGAGTCTGTTTCTGACGCTTGCCCTCTGTTCTGTTCTACTTGTCCATTTAAATGTTCTTGCTCGAAATTGTTTCTATGACAGTGGCTTTGTAGTACATCCATGGATTTGGTTGGGACACTCCCTCCCCTACTTCTACTTTTCTCCTCTTTCTCAACGTTTATTTAGTTATTTGTGGACCTTTATTTTTCCATGTAGATTATAGAGGTTTTCAGAGATCCTCAGAAAACCCAACTGAAATCTTACTTGAGGTTAATTTGGGGGAGAATTGAGATTTTATGATAATAAACCACCCTTCCCAAAAGTATAGACTGTCTCCCCAATTATTCTTCTCATCTTATATGTTCTTTAGACTAATTTAAAACTTTTTCTTTATTTTTTTATTAAATAAGGTTATCAATACTTTATAGATTTTTATGCTATTGTGAATTAGATCTTATTTTTGAATTCTGTTTTTCTAGTGAGTTTTCCTTGTCTAGAGAAATGTTCTTGATTTTAATTTATTCGCTATGCTGTGTTTCTCAAGAGCAGAGGCTGCATCTTTCGTCTCTGTATTCCCAGTGTTTAAAACATTGCATGGTAAGTGATCAATGAATGTTTGTTTGTTGAATGAATGAATGAATGAGCAGGATACATAAAGCAGAATGGGCTGCTATGATATTTGGGTCCATATAGAGGCTTCATGGCAACATCCACGACAGTTCCAGTAGACACCCCACCACAAGGACCAAGGGAAGGGGCAGCCAATTCCTTTACATGGCTATCTTCCTCGGTGTGATCAATTAATTCCCCAAAGTGGCTCAATTAGCCTTAGTTGGTACCCTCCCCAGTTTTCCTCAGACCACATAGATGTTTTTGAACATAGCTTTTTGCTATTTACTATGGCTTCTTCTGGACACCCACTCTTAGCTCAAATTTACACATGCATTTTGGAAGCCTTCACTGCCAGAGTGGTGGTCAGACTAAAAAGCTTGACTTGGGTCTCCAAGCCATAGTTATGAAGTACCATAGGATTGGTTGTCTTCCTGGTACTTTCTTCTCCTCAGAAATGAAGCAAGCACTTAGACCTCTTAACTGCTGATGAGCTGAGCTTGGATCCCTAAAAGCGGAAAAGAGAATTTGAATACCAAGACCCAGCTACCCTTAGGACTGGAGCAAGATTGGACACAGGTATAGGTGCTCTTGGTAATGTTAGACAAAGGCAAAGGCAACACACAAGGAAAGTTAGGCTTTTAAAATGACAGTTCATTTATTTTACAAAAATTGTACTGAGTGCAATATAAAGGCCTTTCACAGTCTGACTCCTGCCTTCATTCCCAGGCTTCCCCTTGGTCACTATCTTTTTCTGTCTCTACCATACATGCTTTGTGCTCAAGCCATACCTGATTGTTTGTCAAACCATTATATGCCAGTTCTTTTTTTATTCCTGGATCTTGCTAGACAGTATTCTCTGTGTCTAAAATGCTCTTCCTACCTTTCTCTGTCTATTTATCAAACCTCTATTAATTCTTTTCAATGATGAATTCATGTTACCTTATCTCTGAAACTTTTCCTGACTTCTCCAAGTAGAATGGTTATCTTTCATTCTGTGGCACCTTAACGTATTCAGTATAGCCTTCTGTTAGTACATTTTTAATGCTGTGATATTGTAACTAATTTATTTTTATTTTCTTGTCTGCTTATTTTCCATTGCAAGCTTCTTAAGATTTGGGACCATACATTCTCTATCTTTGTGACTGAAAGCTGAGCATAGCTTCTAGTATGCAGTAGGTGATCAGTTAGCAAATAATTGATTAAGTTGAACAAATAATTGAGTAAGTTCACCATGAAGAGAATGAGATTTTGATCCTATACTGGTCATGTGGTTCTAGAAAAGCAACTAATCTTTCTATTCATCTGTAAAATAAATTTATATATGTATTTGCTGAATTGTGAAGATGTTATATTAGTCATCTTGGGTTGCTGTAACCAAATCCCATAGGCTGGTTGGCTCAAACAACAGACGCTTATTTCTCACAGTTCTGGAGGCTAGTAAGTCCAAGATCAAGATGCCAATAGATTTGACTCATGATGGGGGCTCTCTTCCTGGCTTGCAGATGGCTGCCTTCTCATATTCTGCAGAGAGAAAGGTCTGGTGTCTCTTCCTCTAGTTATAAGGGCACTAATCCCATCAAGGGGGATCTACCCTCCTGACCTCATCTAAGCACAATTATTTTCCAAATGCCCCACCTCCCAATACCATTGCATTGAGGTTAGAGCTTCCTATGTGAATGGGAGGGTGGAGGAAAGAACACAAACATTCAGTTTATTACATATCTTATAAAATATTATGAATCTGGTTAAAGTATTTTCAAAGAAATGTTTTAACTATGGAGACCAGATGAGTGAACAATGAACCTTGCCATAAATATGACAGCAGAGAAAAAATGACTATCCTTGATATGGTTTGGCTATGTCCCCACCCAAATCTCAACTTGAATTGTGTCTCCCAGAATTCCCACATGTTATGGGAGGGACCCACGGGGAGGTAATTGAATCTGAAATGCTCTTCCTATCTTTCTATGCTTATTTATCAGTCCTCTGCTAATTCTTTTCAATGATTGATTCAATGATGAATTCCCATGCTATTCTCATGATAGTGAATTAAGTCTCACGAGATCTGATGGGTTTATCAGGGGTTTGCACCTTTACTTCTCTCTCGTTTTCTCTTGCCACTGCCATGTAAGAAGTGCCTTTTGCCTCCCACCATGATTCTGAGGCCTCCCCAGCCATGTGCAACTGTAAGTCCAGTTAAACCTCTTTTTCTTCCCAGTCTTGGATATGTCTTTATCAGCAGTATGAAAACTGACTAATACAGTAAATTGGTACCAGTGGAGTGGGGCGCTGCTGAAAAGATACCTGAAAATGTGGAAGCGACTTTGGAACTGGGTAACAGGCAGAGGTTGAAACAGTTTGGAGGGCTCAGAAGAAGACAAGAAAATGTGGGAAAGTTTGGAGCTTCCTAAAGACTTGTTGAATGGCTTTGACAAAAATGCGGATACTGCTATGGACAATAAGGTCCAGGCTGAGGTGGTCTCAGATGGAGATGAGGAACTTGTAGGGAACTGGAGCAAAGATGACTGTTGTTATGTTTTAGCAAAGAGACTGGTGGCATTTTGCCCCTACCACAGAGATTTGTGGAACTTTGATCTTGAGAGAGATGATTTAGGGTATCTGGCTGAAGAAATTTCTAAGCAGCAAAGCATTCAAGAGGTGATTTGGGTGCTGTTAAAAGCATTTCATTTTAAAAGGGAAACAGCATAAAAATTTGGAAAATTTGCAGCCAGTTGATGCAGCAGAAGAGAGAAACCTGTTTTTTGAGGAGAAATTCAAGCTGGCTGCAGAAATTTGCATAAGTTACAGGGAGCTGAATGTTAATCTCCAAGACAATGGGGAAAATGTCTCCAGGGCATGTCACAGGTCTTCATGGCAGCCCCTCCCATCACAGACCCTGAAGACTAGGAGGAAAAAATGGTTTTGTGGGCCAGGCCCAGGGTCCCCATGCTGTGTGCAGCCTAGGGACTTGGTGCCCTGCATCCCAGCTGCTCCAGCCATTGCTAAAAGGGCCGAGGTACAGCTCTGCCCGTGGTTTCAGAGGGTGCAAGCCCCAAACCTTGGCAGCTTCCATGTGGTGTTGAGCCTGCAGGTGCATGGAAGTCAAGAATTGAGGTTTGGGAACCTCCATCTAGATTTCAGAAGATGTATGGAATCACCTGGATGCTCAGGCAAAAGTTTGCTCCAGGGGCAGAGCCTTCATGGAGAACCTCTGCTAGGGCAGTGTGAAGGGAAATGTGGGGTTGGAGCCCCCACACAGAATCCCTACTGGGGCACCACCTAGTGGAGCTGTGCAAAGAAGGCCACCGTCCTTCAGACCCCAGAATGGTAGATCCACCGACAGCTTGTACCGTGCACCTGGAAAAGCCACAGACCCTAAACGCCAGCCCGTGAAAGCAGCCAGGAGTGGGGACTATACCCTGTGAAGCCACAGGGGCAGAGCTGCCCAAGACTAAGGGAACCTACCTCTTGCATCATTGTGACCTGGATGTGAGACATGGAGTCAGAGGAGATCATTTTGGAACGTTATAATTGGACTGCCTCGCTGGATTTTGGACTTGCATGGGGCTTGTAACGCCTTTGTTGTGGGCACTTTCTCCCATTTGGAATGGCTGTATTTACCCATTACCTGTATCCCCATTGTATGTAGGAAGTAACTAGCTTGCTTTTGATTTTACAGGATCATGGGTAGAAGGGACTTGCCTTGTTTCAGATGAGACTTTGGACTACGGACTTTTGGGTTAATGCTGAGATGAGTTAAGACTTTGGGGGACTGTTTGGAAGGCATGATTGGTTTTGAAATGTGAGAACATGAGATTTGGAGGGGCCAGGGGCAGAATGATATGGTTTGGCTGTGCCCCCACCCAAATCTCAACTTGAATTGTTATCTCCCAGAATTCCCAGGTGTTGTGGGAGGGACCCAGGGGGAGGTAATTGAATCATGGGGGCCGGTCTTTCCCATGCTATTTTTGTGATAGTGAATAAGTCTCAGGAGATCTGATGGGTTTATCAGGAGTTTCTGCTTTTGTTTCTCTCTCATTGTCTCTTGCCGCTGCCATATAAGAAGTACCTTTTGCCTCCCACTGTGATTCTGAGGCCTCCCCAGCCATGTGCAACTGTAAGTCCAATGAAACCTCTTTTTCTCCTCAGTTTTGGGTATGTCTTTATCAGCAGCGTGAAAATGGACTAATACGATCACCCTCTTCTTTGTTCTCCTTTCTATTTCATCGCTAATTTTTTTTGGCATTTGGAGGGTGCTATACATTGCAAAAGTTGGGGACTCACTAATTCCACTGCTCACTGTATATCAAGGTAATCTGTCAGGGGTTTGGTTTTATATAAGAAACAAATGAGTCCCCAGAACATACAAGTTAAGATTATTCAATCAAGGGAGGCAGTCATTACCCTTTAACCTCTGAAAGAAAACTGCAAGTAGGCATCAAACTAACCCTGAGATGGGAGAGAGTAGAAGTTCCCACACCCAGTGAATTGTAGGACATTAGGTAATTATTGGTGGGAAGTAAATTTGAGTGGGGAACTGAATTTCAACTGACTTTTATCCTTGAAGATGGTGCTTCTATTTTCTCAAATTAGAAGGTTATGAAAATTGCATCTGAACAACAAGTTGTATTAGCATAAGTTCTAGAAGAAACTGAGAAAGCAAGGCTAGTCTGAGGAAAATTTATACCGCTCACATTTCCCTTCTGAATTGGAGAATAGAATTGAATAGCAAAATTGTAACCTACCTTTCAAAGATGCATTTTATAGTGAAGTATATTTTGTGAACTTTTATATCTTCTATTCTTATTTTTCTATTGCCCTATTTTAAAATCTATCTTGAATTTATTAAATGTATATGTCTCTGTTTATATATTTATGAGTAATATGGTAGTCTTTTTGGTATCAGATGAGAACCCAACACACACAAATACATACTGACACATACAAAGATGTTTATACTGCCTCTTACATCTGTCGGAAGAGAGAGGGTTCCAAGAATTCCTGTGATGAGGGCTTAAAGCCAAATATTTTTGTTATCATTTTATACATATATATTTTATTTTTTTTCTATTTGGGAGAAGCTAGAAAACACACATTACTTTTTTTTGTATCTTTTCTGTTTTAGACTAAAATCTGCTGCTATTCAAAGAATAAATTGTATCTTTGTGTATTCTGATAGACATAATAAGTAAGTTGTGTAAGTTATAAGTATGTATAAGTAAGTTGTATCTTTGTGTACTCTTCTTCTGATAGACATAATAATATAAGACAAACCCAATAACAGCATGCTGTTTATTTTGAACACAGAAATGTCTTTAGTTCAGCCTAACTCTGTCCTTCCTTTTTGCTGATAGAAAGTCTTCGGCCTCATCCCTCGTCTCACGTCCTTGATGCCTATTTCTTGAGGTGTTCCATCCACTGTCAAAGTCCCCAGTCAGTGATTGTTCTTAGGTATGAGTATTCTTTTCCATCCTAATCCATGTTATCCCACTTATCTTCCAAAAGGCATCCTCTACTCCTAGAGGAGCACAACAGGTTTCCTTCTCTACTCTTGATGGTGAGCCCAGAGTACCCTGTTGTCTCTGTGGCCCTAGGCTTCCACTTACCCTGCCCTTACCTCTGTGGCAGTGGAGAGGATATGGTAGCAAAAGAGAGCAGGAGTGATCCACCATGTCCAGTCATCCTAGGGGATTGGTTCCAAGGACCCTTCCCACCCCCTGCAGATACCAAAATCCCCAGATGCTCAAGTCTCTGACATAAAATGGCTTAGTCTTTGCCTATAACCTATGCACATCCTCCTGTACACTTTAAGACATCTCTAGATTAATAGCTAGTACAATGTAAATCCTATGAAAATAGTCGTTATACTGTGTTGTTTAGGGAACGATAACAAGAAAAAAAGTCTGTACATTTTCAGTACAGACACAACCATCCATTTTTTTTCCTGAATTTTTTGATCCATTGTTGGTTGAAGCTACGATGTGGAGCCTGTGGATAAGGAGGGCTGACTGTACAGCTATGTCACATTTTTGACTGCCAAGGCACAGAGGCACAGAATAAAATAGAGAAAAATGGAGACAAGAATAAAGATGAGACCGGTGTAGTGGCTCACGCCTGTAATCTCAGCACTTTGGGAGGTGGAGGCGGAAGGACTGCTTGAGCCCGGGAGTTCAAGACCAGCTTGGGAAACATAGTGGGACCCTATCTCTATTTAAAATTTTTTTTTTCTTTTTGAGACAGAGTCTCGCTCTGTCACCCAGGCTGGAGTGCAGTGGTGTGATCTCAGCACACTGCAACCTCCACCTCCCAGGTTCAAGCGATTCTCCTGTCGCAGCCTCCCGAGTAGCTGGGACTATAGATGCCCACCACCACTCCCGGCTAATTTTTGTGTTTTTAGTAGAGGTGGGGTTTCACCATGTTGGCCAGGCTGATCGCAAACTCCTGATCTCAAATGTTCCACCCACCTTGGCCTCCCAAAGTGCTGGGATTACAGGTATGAGCCATCACGCCTGGACAGAAAAAATTTTTTTAAAGAATAAAGATGAATAGGAAGGGAGGTGCCATTCACTTCAGCAGAGACATCCTTCTATTTCCCTTGTGATGCAAATATTCCCACCTCTATGACTCTGTCAGGAGAGGGATACTGAAGATGTTAAAGTCATTAAAACAAGATATTAAAAAAAATCAGAACAGTTTAATCCTGTCCTGGTAGAGATGATCAAACAACTCCAAAGAGGTGATGACTTAACATATTTCTAGGTCCAAGTAGTGGCCAACCGGGGCCAGCATCCTCCCAGTCACCCAGGCTGCCAACCAAGGTGGCTGAATACTTGCTTGAGATTGCCAGCATTTGTGATATCATCACTGTGCATAATTTCAAGGTAGGATCCTCATTGCTGTGGGCTATAAAATGGACTCTGCCCACCACACCCCCCCCGCCAACACTTGGCACACTTAGATGGAAATGGAAAAATGGTATTCTAAAACATTCTGTTGCATTATTATTTGTACCCCTAGGCAGGTGTGATTCATGTGGGACAGAGTGGCAAGGAAAGGCTCTATTGAAGGGGCGAGCCTTGAGCTGCCCCTGGGTGGAAGTGTGGGTGGCCATGGGAGCTGCATTTCCATGGTGGTGGGAGCTCTGGGCCACTCCTCAATCCCATGTCTGACACACACACACACACACACACACACACAAACAAACACACACACACCCACTCCTGATAGTAGGAAGAGCAGTATTTTGGACAAAGAGGAGGCTGAAGGCTGCATGACGCCTTGAGACATCAACTCAGGTATGTGTGGAGGTGGCGGAAAGTATTATTACCTGGAACAATCTTCACCCTTTAGGCCTAAATCAACCTCCACCTCCACCGGGACGTTTTTGCACAATGTGTTTCTTTGACAGACTCACCAGAGCGTATGCACATTTGGTTCTCCATTAGAAACATATTTTGTATTTCTAGTTCCTAAAGGAAATGTGAGTTTTGTACTTAGCAGAAGCTATAGCACCATCTTGTGGAAATAAATGCATTGGATCACAAGCTTGCTCTGAAAATTTTAGTCATCTTAAAAAAAAAAGTAAATCTTGATATGACTTCATAGCTCTAAATCACTCCTGGAATGCACCATCTATTAGTAGCAAAAGACTTCTCATATATTCTAATTGTATGAGGGTGGAGTTAGCATTCTCCACCAGCTGCAGCTTTCTTTCTGTTTTGCTTTCGAGGTAGGGTCTTACTCTGTCCCCCAGGCTGGAGTGCAGTGGTGTGATCATAGCTCAATACAGTCTCGAAGTCCCAGGCTCAAGCAATTCTCCTGCATCAGTCTCCCGAGTAGCATAGTGTGCCACTATACCCAGCTAATTTTTTGTAGAGATGGGGTCTCTCTATGCTGCCCAGGCTGGCACTGGCAACTTTCTTCTTTTTAGAATAATTACCGTACTTAGGATCCAATATTCTTCCCATCTCACTTGTTTTAGAATGTGTGTCCTCAGGTTTGGATTTTAATCATGTCCCAAGGGATCTTGCCTTCTAAATAAAGGAACACTCACTGGGTACCAATGTTCTTTTCTGTCTCCTCTGGTGAATCAGACACTTCTCTTCTTAATAGAGTTCATTGATAAAGGGCTTGGGAAAAGGAGGTCCCTTCATTATTGAGAATCTAAAGCATTGGATTGGGAGCCCACAGAAGAACTGGAACAGAGGCTGAGGCAGGAGGATCACTTGAGCCCAGGAGTTCGAGGTTGTAATGAACTGTAATCGCACCACTACACTCCAGCCTGGGTGACGGAGTGAGACCCCATCTCAAAAAAAAAAAAAAGTCCCTGGAAAAGGTTTTATTTAGAATCACGAAATCATTGAATCATTTAATAAATAATGAGTCTTTTTAATGTAAGTAGTATACCCTCCAGTGGAGGGGAAAAAATGCCCAATGTTCTCAACCTTTCTTATCCCTAGTTTGATCTGCATCAAACGTGGAATTGATGTAAAGCTTTGGGGCTTCACCAGGCTTCCCTCTGAACAGTCTCAGGCTTGATTAGAATTTAAGGCTGGTGTGAATTTTGCAAATTTTAAAGATCTATGTTTATCTTCAAGACATATTTTGAAAAAATTACACATTGACATCCTTCAAAAAAGCTAAAAGCACAGAAGTAAATGTCTGCCTCCACATGTTTCCCAGCTATCCAATTATCTTCTCTCAAGGCACCAATATTACAAGTTGTTTGTGAAATGCTTCCAAAAATATTTTGCACTTACAGGAAATATATTACATCAATGATAGTCCACAAAATATTTCAAAACTTGCATTTTTCATTTAAAAATATAGGTTGAAGATTGTTCTATATTAGCACATAGTTTCCTTATTTATTTTTCAGCTGTACAAGATTTTATTGAATGGGTGTAGTCTCCTGCTGAGGTTTTTCCCAGTAGTTTGGCAGTACAAACAATGCTGCAGTGAATAACCTTTACATCTGTTGCATAGCACACATGCTAGTCTACCTGTGGGCTATATTCCTGGAAGTAGAATTGCTGTGTCAAATGGTGCATTTGTAATTGTGGGAGACTTTGGCAAACTTTTCTCCATGCAGGTCATTTATACCAAATTACAGCAATGTATGACACTCCATGCCTCACTAACTGTATGTTTTTAAAACTTTTTTTTTTTCTGAGACAGGGTCTCACTCTGTTGCCCAGGCTGGAGTGCAATGGCGTGATTACAGCTCACTGCAGCTTCGACTTCCCAGGCTCAAGTAATCCTGCCACCTCAGCCTCCCACAGGAATGCACCACTATGCATGGCTGATTTTTTACTTTTTGTAGACAGAGTCTCCCTATGTTGCCCAAGGTAGTCTTGAACTCCTGGGCTCAAGTGATCCTCCCACCTCAGCCTCCCAAAGTGCTGATATTACAGGCATGAGCCACCACACCCAGCCTTTAAAACTTTTTGACTTTGCTAATGTAATAGGTGAAATATTATATTTCAGTGGTTACTGTTGTCATTTTTGCAGTGTTCCTTTTATGAATTTGGTTATAGGAACTCAAATTTTTCATGAGGCCTGGTCACCTAGTCAGTTATCTTTCTCCAGAGCTATTTTGGCAAATACATTGATTTTTTTAAAATTAAGTTTTATGAATAGATATAAATGACTCAGATTTCAATCAGCTTTCAAAAATATTTTTTTTGTATTCTCCCTTTCCTACTTGTCCCCAGTAGTGGATTTACCATGAAGCTAGCAAAGCTTAAGCTTAGAACCCCTTCCAAGAGTCCCTTCCAAAGCTCTGAACTAATTTTGTATTCATACATTCACATTCTGTTTCTTAAAGAAGCTGCCCCAAATTGTATAAGCTTCAGGCCTAGATATGCCGCTGCTTGTCACCGTCTTCCCTGTTTTCAACCTCTCTCTTCCTAGTTTCTTCTGTATTCCTCTAGAATGACTTTATGCATATGTAAGCACATCTAGATAGAGTTTATCCACCCCCTTCCTTTTTTCTTGCTTTTCTGAATGGGTCTTGGAGATTTTTCAATGTAAGATCTAGAGACCATCCATATTGTTTACTGTTGGTTGATAATTTTATGGTATTCCATTGTATGAAGATACTGGTCTTTACTTAATCAGTCCTGTATTGGTGGAACTTAGTGGACATTTGTTTTGTTTGTTTTTTGCATTAAGAAAAGCTCCTGGCAGGTTTCAGAGACTTAAATGACAGCTAAAAATCTGGTGGGATTACAGGTTTCAGAAGTGACAAGGTTTAAAATAGATGAAATTGTTGGGGGAGCCCTAGCCTCCCTTCCTGCACACCCTCTTCAGGTATCTAGGACTCGAAGTCTTATCAAAACAGGACACTTATTACCTGCTAGTCACAACCTATCTATATGAACATATACATTGGCGTGGGAAGTTTGTCTGTGATTGTGAAACAAGATTGTCTTGCTAAAGACATTCTGAATATGTGAAGGCAGGAGGGAGAGATAATTGTAAGGCTTTGAGTGCCTCTAAAATCCTACTGGATAGTTGTTGGCTTCAAAAAAAGGCAGATAGCTTCTGAGGTCATAGTATTCCATCAGTGGCATTGCTACAGCCTGCTAACTGACTTTCATTGCCCACACGCTAACATTTTGTTCTGCTGTATCTGATGGGGAAGGGTTGAGCCACGCAGGCATGGAGTGCTAGATGTCTTCTGCATGCCAGAAGAGTTCATTACTTAGTATTTTAACCCTTCATTTACCTGATTTTATTTATTTATTTATTTTTGAGACGGAATCTCCCTCTGCCACCCAGGCTGGAGTGCAATGGTGCAATCTCGGCTCACTGCAACCTCTGCCTCCCGAGTTCAAGTGATAATTCTGCCTCAGCCTCCCGAGTAGCTGGTTTTACAGGCATGCGCCATGACGCCCGGCTAATTTTTGTATTTTTAGTAGAGATGGGGTTTCACCATGTTGGCAAGGCTGGTCTCGAAGTCCTGCCCTCAAGTGATCCACCCGCCTTGGCCTCCCGAAGTGCTGGGATTGCAGGCATGAGCCACTGCACCTGGCCTTTCATCCACCTTAGTCATCACTTCCTTTCTTCTCTTCCAGTTCAATGCAAACACCATGGGAAACACATTTGGGATAGCTGGAAATTCAGCCTGTTTATTCTCTCTACCCCCTTAAAGCATGGAATGGCTGATCTCCTATCACAACCCACTTTTTGAGAAGAAAGGATCATACACCTGTCTGATTTGGTTACCTCAAATCCAGTCCTATTGCCCAGTATTACCTTTTGTTCATATGTCCTTGTTTGGCTCTTTCCTAGAACTGCCTTCCCTGGGACTAAATTGTAGTGGGTTTTAGTTTAAGATACCACATTAAATTTTTTAAAACACTTTTAATATTTGTGGGTACATAGTAGGTGTATATCCTTTACCTCTTTTATAAGGGATCAGGTAAATAATACATAGAGAAAGTAAGGAAGGAGAAAACAAAGGTGAGAGAAGAGAATAGATGGATCTCAATGCTTCATGATTAAGAATAACTTTTAGTACTTCTTTTCAGCTTACAAAGTGCTGTGTATATTACCTTTTGTGAAGCTCACATTTCCTTGAAATAAATGGGGTGGTGTCTTATCACCATTTTACAGACAGGGAAGGAAAATAAGGATAAGGCTGATCATGGCGCACCTGAATCCAGGTTTATAGGATTTCCCAACATCTTGAGACTTGATGGTTCAGGGTTGACTTTGTCTGGGTCCCTCAGAAGGTAATCAGGGCAGTAGCAGTTTCAGAATGTTTGTACTGAAATGGGGGCTAGGGGATTTGTCTTGAAGCTCTATTTGGATTGTATTTCAGATAAAATTGAAAAAAAATCTACTGTCTGATAAAATTGAAAAAAATTCAGGTAAAATTGAAATATTCAGATAAAATTGAAAAAAAATTCTATGGAGGTGCTGATGATGGAGATCTGTGGAGGAGTCCCAAGTCTCTTGGTCCCTCTACTTCTTTTGAGTTTTACTATTGTCCTGAAGAGGCAGAGAGCTAGAAACTCAGAACCTCTGATTCCCTGTGGCACAGGCTGCTAGATGTTTATCAGAATTGTTCCTCTTATGCCTGGGTATACAGACCACATTTCTCAGAATCACTTGCATTTTTTATTGCCATGGTGACCAAATCTTAGCCAATGGGATGTGAGCAGAAATAAAGAGTCCACTTTTGGGCCAGGTCACTGAAACTTTCATGCTTTGTCTCCCTCCAACACACATGACAATAATGGGAACCATGTGGAAATGAGGGCAGATCCATGAGGTGTAAGGACCCTGGGTCCCTGAATCACCAATTGATGGCGTGATGTCTGCTGGTCAGGAAAACCTCCTCTGAACAAGGAATGAACATTGGTTTACTGTAAAATTTTCAAATAATGCAATATTCTTTCCCATGGTTCAGTCTACATTTTGAGAGGTCTCTTCTTTAAGTCTTTAATGTGTATTATTTTAAACATTTTCCCATGCTTTAGTATATGTCTCTATATATATTCTCACACATACACATATCTATAGGTTTTTAAGTGAATGAGAAAGCACAGTATCAATATACTTTGTTTCCTCACTTCACATTTTGTGAAAATTTTGCTTATGGTAATATTAGTTTATATGTTAACTGTACATTAATATCTAATTAGATGTTAATATACTAGTAAAACTTATTTATATTAAGAGTTGCATATTTCATTGTATATATTTGCAATGTTTTATTTAATAACCTCACTATTGATATTAGGTTATTTATCAATTTACAAGTATTGCTTCTGCTTAAAATATATGTACATGTATATATTTATGCATATGGGAATATTTCTGTAGGATATGTTCTTAGAATTGAAATTGCTGCATCAAAAGGTATGCACATTTTATTTTTTGAGGCCAGGCACAGTGGCTCATGCCTGTAATCCCAGCACTTTGGGAGACTGAGGAGGGAGGATCACTTGAGCCCAGGAATTCAATACCAGCCTAAGCAATATAGACCCCATCTCTACCAACCAACAACAACAAAATTAGCCAGGCATGGTGGCTTGCACCTGTAGTTCCAGCTACTCTGGAGGCTGAGGTCGGAGGCTGTTTTCAGCTCAGGAGTCCGAGGCTGCAGTGAGCTGTGATTGCGTCACTGTACTCCAGCCTGGGCAACAGAGTGAAACCCTGTCTCTGAAAAATCAAAACAAAACTAACAATTTAGTTTTTGAAGAGACATGACCAAATTTCCCCGAAATCTATTAAGACTGTGGGGAAGTATCCACTTGCCTACATGCTTAGCGATGCTAGAAAGTATCCATCTTTTAATTTTTGTCCATCTAATGGGTGAAAAATGGTATCTTGTGCTTTAAAATTTATTACTTACTAGAGGAACTATACATCTTTCATTACATTTATTATTCTCTGTCACTTGTTCTACTGTAAATAGTTTATCTGTCTCTACTTGTATCTATGTGTTTTTTTCCAATAAAAAACTGGTTTGTGTATTACTATTTTGCTTGTTATATATATTGGGGACTACGTTAGCTATATTTTAATCATTTTCTTAAAGCTGATTTTCTTTTCTTTGTGTGTGGTAAAGATGGTGGACTTTTTAAACGTTTTATTTTTTTCTGCCGGCTGCAGTGGCTCATGCCTATAATCCCAGCACTTTGGGAGGCTGAGGCGGGTGGATCACCTGAGGTCAGGCATTCAACACCAGCCTGGACAACATGGTGAAACCCTGTCTCTATTAAAAATGCAAAAAATTAGGCAGGCATGGTGGTGGCCGCCTGTAATTCCAGCTACTCAGGAGCCTGAGGCAGGAGAAGCCCTTGAATCGGGAGGTGGATGTTGCAGTGAGCTGAGATTGTGCCATTGCACTCCAGCCTGGGCGACAAGAGCAAAACTCCATCTCAAAAATAAATAAATAAATAAATAAAATTAAGTAAAATAAGTGTTTTATTTTTTAATTGACAAAATTGTATAGATTTACCATGTAGAAAATGATATTTTGAAATGTATGTACATTGTGGAATGACTAAATTGGGCAAATTACCATATGAATTATCTAACACCCTTGTCATTTTTATGGTGAGAACACTTAAAATCTACTCTGTCAACATTTTTCACAATACAATCTATTGTTATTAGCTATCATCACCAAGTTGTACAATAGATCTCAAGGCTGATTTTCTTGATCCTTACTTAACTGTTCACAGAAAAAGATTCTGTAAGTCCAGGATAGAGGGAGGCCATATGACCCAGTGGTTATGGAGTCAGGCTCACCTGGATTAGAGTCCAAGTTATGTCAGATACTTGCTGTGTGACCATAGAAAAGTTTCTTACTATCTCTGAACCTCTATCTCTTCTTTTGTAATAATAATAATAAAGGTACTAGAATTGTTATGAAGTTGAGACATGATAATGATGCATGTACCTTAGCACAATGCCTGACATTTCATAAGCTCTCAGCAAATACTAGCTCTTAAAAGTATATCTACAATGTGGGTAATATGGGTACAAAACTAGATATTTATGTTTTAGTCTAGTTCCTAGAACCATTCCCAATCAAAGTTATTCCTAGTAATATTCTTTCCTTAAGGTGGGTATTTCGTGTTACCTTTTAGCCAGTCTTATGAAATTTCTATTTCCCAGAGCACTAAAATAGTCAACTAATTAATTACTTCAGTATGTACTATTTTTTTTCCTTTTTTGAAACAGAGTCTCCCTCTGTCACCCAGGCTGGAGTGCAGTGGCATGATCCTGGCTCACTGCAACCTCTGCCTTGCAGGATCAAGCGATTCTTGTGCCCCAGCCTCCCAAGTAGCTGGAATTACAGGCGCATGCCACCATGCCTGGCTGGTTTTTGTATTTTTAGTAGAGAAAAGGTTCATCATATTCGCCAGGCTGGTCTCAAACTCCTGGCCTCAAGTGATCCTCCTGCCTCGGCCTCCCAAAGTGCTAGGATTACAGGCATGAGCCATCGTGCCTGGCCAGTACGTATTTTTGGGGTTCTACTGTATTTAAGGTCAGAGAGATTCAGTTAGCCTCAGAAGTCCATTTCATTTTCTCTGTATGGAATTTATTTTATACTCCTTTGACAAAAGTGAAAATCCAAATTAATATGAAATGTGAAGAAACTAATAAAGACAGGGAATTAGAAAACAAGAGGTGACCTTAAAGTTTTTCTAGTTCAATTCTTTATTTTATATGTGTGGAAATGGAAGTCCAGAGGAGTTAAGCAACTTTTCTGAGGTCACACAGTGTGTAAGTGAGGGAATTGTCGTGACAGCCCAGACATTCTCATGCTGAGGCAGTATTCTGTTGACCAAATCATACCGTGTTCAAGGATTCACTTCTTCTTTTGGCACAACATGATTTCAAAAATTAAAAACAGAGAAACACAGCTTGGAAAAACACAGATAAAAATGAGCCAATGCTATTTAAAATTTATGAAGAAAGCAAGGGATGTAAGACACTTCTCTGCTGGCTGCGAAAACATGAGAGCTGTGAAGTCCAGTGAGACAGCATTCCAAATGTCTTTCCTTTTTGTCTATTCTCAAGAACCTGTATTTAACAATGGTACTCTACACTCACAGCCAACAGTAAACACCAGTCCTACAGGTCGGCAGTTGGCAATCCCTGGTCCACGTGCCAAAGATGCTGCAGGTGCCAATCTCAGGCGGCAAGGAAACTGACTACAACACACAAATTCCCATCCCTTTCATTCCCAGTAGTTATTGCCTACAGTTGTCTCCACCCTCTTGCCAGAGTTTTCAAGATCAACACCCTGACATGACTTCCTGTGTAGCACCAGTACCATCCTGGCCTTCTGGAATCACAGTTTCAGTCATTTGGCACACTTCTGTGAGAAGGCAATCGCCATGGACTCCTACGATAAAACATAAATAAGTATTCCCAGCATTTTTAATAGTAAATGCTAAATTTCAACCCTAAATTGTTTCTTTTCTTCTCTGTGATCCTAGAGCGATAGGATATTCTCGATTATTAATATCTACTGCATAAGAATATGCCAAAAGGATGAATTGGACAAACCAAATGCACAAGATATCCAAACTTAAAAGAATAGGCCAGGCACGGTGGCTCGCGCCTGTGTTCCCAGCACTTTGGGAGGCCGAGGCGGGTGGATCACCTGAGGTCAGGAGTTCGAGACCAGCCTGGCCAACATGGGGAAACCCCCTCTCTACTAAAAATACAAAATTAGCCAGGCATGGTGGCCCACGCCTGTAGTCCCAGCTACTCAGGAGGCTGAGGCAGGGGAATCACTTAAACCTGGGAGACAGAAGTTGCAGTGAGCCAACAACTGCACTCCAGACTGGGCAACAGAAGAAGACTCCTTCTCAAATAAATAAATAAGTAAATAAATAAATAAATAAATAAATAAATAAAAAGAATAAAGGGTAACACATCCCTAGGCCTATATGATGTGAGTAGAAATTTGAACACAACCACTCATTTGTTCATTTAGTCAAAGTTTATTGTGTGTCTACTATGAACAGGCCTGTTGCCAACCATTCAGGAGATGAATATCAGGAGGTCCTCTGCAAGAGAGTGGCTCAGAATTTATTTACAGTCAGACTGCCTGGTCTTGATTCATGTTTCTACCACTGAATGATTTGGCGACCTTGAATAAATTAATTAATTACACTAAACTTTATTTCCCCCCCTTTAATGTTAGGATAGTATTAGTACCTACTCCACATATTTGATGTAAGAATTTTTCTAAAGCATTTTATGCAGTGCCAACCACATAGTAAGTGCTCAATAATTATCAGCTACAATTAAATTTCTACTGTAGTATAACCTAAAATTAGAGGGATTTAAAGAAGTTTAGAAATCAGAAGATGGCTCAACACTGAAAATTTGGAAATGGGGTCAACAGATAAAGTGTCCTCTATGTATTCCGTATGTTTTTTGTGAGTACTCACTCTGTGCTAGGAATGTATAGGTGTAAAGAGATGAACCAGTGCTTGTCCTTCCCTTTGTGAAGCAATGAATGAAACATAATTGAGACATGCACTGTAAATCCCAGGTTGAGGATTACAAAAAGTTGGAAACCAAAACCAAAATCTGAATTCCTTGACCTTGGGAGAAGTCTCCTGTTTTTTCCAAGTGAACGGGCTAGGACCAGATTCAGAGACAGGCTCCCCGGGAGCCTTTGCCAGCTGACTCACAGAGGTTCCCTGAGTCTGGGCCACAGCTCATGCTCCTGGTCCAGCTATGCCCTCCAAGAGTGAGTGGCCTCCTGTGCCTCTAGGGGGGACAAGGGGAAGCCATGAGGGCAAAGGCGTAGGTGACCTACCAGCACCAATGCTCTTCCTGTTTAAAGAGCAATTTTGGTTCCAGATCAGAAAGTTTAGCAACCCTGACAGGATTAAAATAACTTCTGACAGCAGGGTAATCATAACAGTTTATCTTATGTTCACATAGCACTTTTAAGTCTTCAGAAAAAAAATGTGTCCATTTGCATCTTGCTTTGGGTTTTCAGTGGCACTCTGTGGTGTCCTAAACAGCTTCCATATGCATAATTTTCAGATGAAGGACTGAAGCTTAAGCAGTTTAAGGGACTTCTCTGCAAAAAACACAGCTAGCAAATGGTACATCTGGAACTAGAACCAGGGCCTCCGGTACGCACCTTGTGTATTTAAGGGGTAGGCAGCATCGTGGGCTTCTTGGATGCCTGGGCCAATCCTAAGAGAGGACTGCACACACAGAATTTAGGGTCCACACAGGCAACCGCCTGAGCATGGTTTCTGCACACCATGATTTCCTGCTGCTCCTCTGGTACCAGGGGAGTATTCATCCCTTGAAACCTACCCCTGGTATTAGAGCTCCTCACCTTTGTCCTGCCACTTGAATGTATCCCTTCCCAGTGTTAGTTGCAATGCAGTATGCAGCATCTGCCGTGAAACTAAACAACCGTTTAAAAACTGTTCGGCAGCAATGGAATTACAAATTGTATATCCAGTTTGGGTAATTTTAAAAAATTTAATAAATTATTTCATTTTTATTATTGTTGGACACAAGGTCTCACTCTGTCACCCAGGCTGGAATGCAGTGGTGCGATCATGGCTCACTGCAGCCTCAAAATCCCTGGCTCAAGTGATCCTCTTGCCTCAGCCTCCCGAATAGCTGGGGATATAGGCACACGTTGCCATGCCCGGCTAGATAATTTACAAAAACACTTTCTAATGTTCTTCAATTGATGAACCATCAACTTAAAAGTTTTATCCATTGTTTTTGGTTTCACCATCCTGCCCGTCAAGAGGCTCCTCCTCCGTCTCTGACCCTTGGAGTCACAGTTCCTTCTTGCTACCACCTCATCTCATTTCACGCACCAGTATAAAAAAAGCTGTTTTTTGTTTGTTTGTTTGTTTGTTTGTTTGTTTTTCCCCCAGCTTTAAGTACTTTTCTGTCTGGAGCCCAATGCCTATCTTTGGCTAGAGATTGAAAATTGCTTTTCATCTCTCCTCCTCTTCATCTTTGGAAATTTCATGATCTCTTTGATTTTTATATAATGGTTACGATTATGGGTTCAGCAGTCATATTGCCTAAGTTTGATTCTGGACTAGGTACTTATTAGCTGGGAGCATTGGTTAAATTATATAATCTCTCTATAGTTCTGTTTTCTCGCCTAAAAATAGTAGTAATAGTCTCTACCTCATAGGGTTTTTATGAGGACTTAAAGAGCTCTTACTTGTAAGGTTCTTGGAATAGTGCTTCACTAAGCACTGTGCGTATATGTGTGTGTGTGTGTGTGTGTGTGCACACGCATGTACGTGAGCATGTGAGTGTTGTATGTGAACTAGAGATGTCTTTGTTCTGGATCTTACCACCCAGAACCAAGTATAGTTCTAAACTTACTCTCTAATCTCATTGAGAACAGCCTCTACTCCCACCCTGTCTGTGTTCTGTGTTCCTCTGAATCTCTTAACCTCCTTTGCAGCCATGCCCACAGGACTCGTCAAACAGGATAAGAAGCCTTCCATAAATAATCTCTGACTCTCCTGGCCTCATCATGGCACATTCTAGATGGGGAAGAAACCCACATTCACTTAACATATCCTACGTTAGGATTGGTTAGACTTATTCTTAATTTGAAATGTTGCTAATAAAGTCCCACATTGTCCTGGTTAAGTAAAGAAGGCTTGGGAGCCAGATTGTTTGGGTATGAGTCTAACATTTACCATCTGCTTGAAGTTCACATCTATAAAATGGGATAATAATGGGAAATGAATTGGCTATAATGATAAACTGAGGTTATCTCTATAAAGTACCTATCAATGTGCAGTGGATGGTGCAGAGTAATTTATAATAATGCTAACTATTAACATTATTATTAAAACGCTTTTTTCCATTGAATTGTCTCTGTGTGGGGCTTTCCATTCGTCCCCAGCAGTGAAAAGTTGTGTGGTGGTACTAACTTCCTCTAAGTGAAGAGCATGTGCTTATTTAGAGACAATCATAGACAGTCCCCTGGAGGAGGTGAGAAGAGTAGAAACAAGTGACCATCACAGTCTCAGGGCAGGTTGGAAAGTGGATTTTGTTGTGTAATTGCTTCAGATTGCCAGCTGAATGTTTATGGATTCACTCTCTCTGACAACAGAAATTGTCAGTTTGTAGGATTTTATAAAAATCAATTTCCCTCCAAGCTGAAGTAGGCACTTAGGTACATTTACTGCTTATAAGAAAGGAAGTACAATTGAGGGGAAACATCCAAATGAGGATGAAAATGGACAGAGGTATCAATGGGTTCTGGAGTCTCTGCCTGTGGCTGTATTTTTAAAAACTTTTTATAGATATGACTTTATCTGGTAATAACTGCTATTCCTCTACTACTGAGCATACCTGACTAAGTCACAGGTGGAGTGTCTGTTTTAAACTTCTGGACTCATAGCAGTGTACAAAATAAATCTTTCCCCGACATTCTCAACTCAATAAGTGCTTAAATTAAAAAATGTTAAGTATAACAAATGCATCAAAAACTAAATACTTCCCAGGCAGGAAAAAGGAATGCTTTGCAGAGTCTCTTGGTTCATTCAGTCTCAGATATAAAGAGAGTAGTGAACTTAGGTGGTATTTGGTACCAAGATTCCAGGAGATGACTGAGGAGGGAGAGTCAAATGTCACACCAGTTAGGAATGACTTTCCTTGCCCAGTGCTCTCCTCAGGGCACCCTTGACCTCTCCGTTCCTCAGGCTGTAAATCAGGGGGTTAAGTGTTGGGTTGAAAAAACTGTAAAATAGAAAAAAGACCTTTTGCTGCTCCTCAGGATGGCGGGACTTGGGGGCCATGTACATGATGATGGCACTGCCAAAGAAGAGTCCCACCACGCAGAGGTGGGAGGAGCAGGTGGAGAAGGCCTTTCTGCGGCCCTCCCCAGACTGGATCCTCAGGATGGCCGCCAGGATGTGCGAGTAGGAGACAAGCACCAGGCTGGGTGGCCCCACCAGGAAGAACACGCAGGCTGCAAAGATGACCACCTGGTTGAGCCAGGTGTCAGCACAGGCCAGCCTGAGGACAGACAGGATTTCACAGAAGAAGTGGTTGATTTCATGAGGCCCAGAGAAGGGCAGTCTTAGGATGAGAACCACATGGGCCAGAGCCAGGAGGGAGCCACACGTCCAGGAAGTGACGGCCAGGGTGATGCAGACTCTCCAGGTCATGATGACGGAGTATCGGAGAGGGTGGCAGATGGCCACGTAACGATCGTAGGACATCAGCACCAGCAGGAGACATTCGCTGTGTCCAAAACTCAAACAGAGAAAGGTCTGCGTCATGCAGCCAGCAAAGGAGATGGGCTTGGCTGGATGCAGGAGGTTCGCCAGCATCTGGGGCACCGTGTTGCGGGTGTAGGCGATGTCGACGACAGCCAGGTGTGAGAGGAAGAAGTACATGGGGGTGTGGAGTCTGGAGTCCAGTGAGATGAGCCCCAGGATGGCCCCGTTCCCCAGCAGGGTGAAGATATAGAACAGGGAGAAGAGCCCAAAGAGGAGCATCTGAATCCTTGGGCCCAGGAGAAATCCCAGTAGGAGGAACTCTGTGACCATTGTCTGATTTTCCCCCATTTCCCTGTGAAAAAGAAAAAGATCACTTAGGACCAGATTGTCAAAAAACACCTAGACATTATTTTATGAATTTAGTCATTTTTAAAAGATAAACTTTTAACATTAGTGATTGAGCTACACATTAAGTTAATTACTGATTGTAAGTATCCAGTGTTATAGAAGGGATTGTGTCACCAGTGATAGGATACATAGAGCCATTGACACATCATGGGAAGAAAGAATGTCGTACCAAAAGTGGAAGTAAAATGACCATCTAATAAGGATTGTCTTGAAGCTGCACATATAAAAATTACTAAGAGAATTCCTGAAGTGTAGAAATAATCAGTAATGGAAGAACTCCAAATATGGGAATTAGAGTAGTCCTAGAAAAAAAGATGATGTAATCCCAGTTTCTCAGTAGAAATATCAACTATTTTGCTTTCAACATCTGAAATCAACCTTTGCACTCTGGAGCAGTTTATATAATAACAGAAGAAGTAGAAAGACAAAAAACAATTTTAATGACATTGTGATTGTTTGGGTTCCTGAGAAGGAACTAATGGATGTGCTACAAATGGGTTCTAATTGCAATCTTTATTTTACAATGGGTCATAAATAGGAACCGATAATTGGTGATTTGGCAGTTAATCTACTGATTGATGCACAGTTACTGATTTACCAAAAACTGGTTTTGAATAACAACTCACACAATTTGTAGAAATTAGATTTTTCTGGGCGAGTTTGTACATACGTATCATTTAAAACATTCACAATGCCTGAATGTTATGTTTGCCACTGCGTTATATATCATTTCTTTTCTAGTCTCTCCTTTCACTTTTGCCAACCCTTTGGTAAATTTAATCCATTTGTGTTTAAGTAAGATGTTCTTTTTACATGTAGAATGAAAGAAACTATGGAGAAAAAATTTAAATGAAGTATCTTTCAAAAACACCAGAAATGACCATTCATAAAAAATTAATTGTGCTTCAGCAACATAAGAATTGCTAAACACTTTACAGGTGGCTAATTAAAACTTTTTTTGCAAAGAGCTAATTTAGTGACTTCATTATTTTGCAGATTATTATAGCAATAAATTGTCAGGTAATTGGTATTTGTGAATTGGTGATGTGCCAAATAATATTTGGGTTTTTGTCCTTAAGTCCTAGATAACATTTTCCTCAATATACCATGTAGAAATCCAGTATTTTGCCAGTGCACATGTTTTTGTTAGTGCCTTTGCTAGGCAAAAATAACCTGCGGCTGAGCCGTTGAACCTGCTTATCTCTGAAGAAAAAGCTTCTCTGGATTAAGGAGAACTTCTCCAGATTAAGGAAATATGCTGCTTTTGATAAGACCCTGGTCCAGCTGTCATTGGAGCAAAGACATGGAACCACCCTAAATGTCCACCAACGATAGACTGGATAAAGAAAATGTGGTACATATACACCATGGAATACTATGCAGCCATAAAAAAAGAATGAGATCTTGTCCTTTGATGGACATGGATGGAGCTGGAGACCATTATCCTTAGCAAACTAATGCAGGAACAGAAAACCAAATACCGAATGTTCTCACATATAAGCAGGAGCTAAATGATGAGAACACATGGACACATAGAGGGGAACAACACAGTACTGGGGCCTATCACAGGGTAAAGGGTGGGAGGAGGAAGAGGATCACAAAAAATAACTAATGGGTACTAGGCTTAATATCTGGGTGATGAGATAATTTGTACAAAAAACCCTCAAGACACAAGTTTGTTTACCTATGTAACAAACCTGCATTTGTACCCCTGAACTTAAAAGTTAGAAAAGAAAAAGTTAAAAAACTAATCTAATTGGAGCCCTAAAGAACGTTCCCACTGGATCCTTTTCCAGTGGTAACAAATGATTGTATACTTATAAGCATTATCAATAAATTGTTGATTATTATCAGCAAGACACAAATAAATTCTAGTGAATATTGTAACTTCATAACACATGGCCAAGGGTTATATTTTTTTTTCAGGATTCTATTAAAAAAATACTCTCCTAGGCCAACCTTCTACATTTAATTGGAAAACACGCAAAGCATATGAAATATTTGGTTGTGAAATGCATTTGAATTTACACCTTATAAACATCTTTATTTATTTATTTATTTTTTTGAGACGGTTTCCCTGTGAAACCTGCCCTGGAATGCGGTGGTGTGATTACGGCTCACTGTAGTTTTGACATATCAGATTCAAGCGATCCTCCCCCTCAGCCTCCCAAGTAGCTGGGATTACAGGTGCATGCCACCATACCTAGCTAATTTTTTTAAATAAATATTTTTTGTACAGACAATGTATTATTATGTCACCCAGGCTGGTTTCAAACTTTTGGGTTCAAGTGCTCCTCCCACCTCGGCCTCCCAAAGTGCTGGGATTGTAGGCATGAACCGTGTACCCAGTCTACATCTTATAAAAAACTTAATTTCTTTATTTAGTCCTTCATTATTTCCTTTTGTAACTCCCCAAATGATTATACAAAGAAAAAAAATCCACTATGCACAAGTATGAATTTCTTTGAAAGCTAGATGGAGAGTCAAGAAGAAAGGAGAGCTTGGTGAAGACACTCAGATTCTTTAAGGACAGTTGCCACATGGGTTGAAACCCTGATTTCTTTTACAGGACTGGGTTGTTAACACACTCCTTGTGAACAAGGAAAAGGTGCTCTCACTTTTGTAATCCTGACAGTAAATACTTACTGTGTGGACAAATTAATGAATAAATACAAATGAATAAATGAATGAATGCATAGTTTTTTTAACCATCCTTTGACTGAATCTGGAATGTCTACTATAATCTGAATACTTGAAAGACACTTTTATTTTCTTTTTCTCCCCCATAGTTTCTTTCATTCTACATGATACAAAGAACATCTTACTTAACTCAATGGATTAAATTTACCAAAGGGTTGGCAAAAGTGAAAGGAGAGACTAAAAAAAAAAATTAAATATAACCCAGTTGCAAATGTAACATTCAGGCATTGTGTATACTTTCAGGGGTGTCCAATCTTTTGGCTTCCCTGGACCATGTTGAAAGAAGAAGAATTGTCTTGAGCCACACATAAAATCCACTAACACTAACGATGGCTAACGAACTTAAAAAAAAAATCACATAATATTTTAAGAAAATTTACATATTTGTGTTGGGCCACATTCAAAGCTGTCCTGGGCCACCTGCAATTTGGACAAGCTTGCTTTAAGTGATATATATGTACAAGTTAGCCATTTAAAAATTTGGCAAATTATTTGATGACTAATAAATTAACCAACGTTTCCATGGCTTCTAAGTAAATATGTAAGACTGAAATCATTTCTTTACACATGACGAAACCTGTCTACTTCAAAAGGTAAAACTTAAGATCTGATGAGCTGACAAACTCCTTTCTAATGAGTCACACAACATTCTTAAAATGAAAGCTATTTTTAAATCCTCAGGTCAAGTAAAGTATTAGATGATTTATTTCCAAGAATCAGAAATATTTGAGGCTGGATGCGGTGGCTCATGCCTGTAATCCCAGCACTTTGGGAGGCTGAGGCAGGAGGATTGCTTGACACCAGTAGTTTAATACCAGCCTGGGCAACATAGTGAAACCCTGTCTCAAAAAAACAAGTAAAACAGAAACAAAAAAAGTAGCTGGGCGTGGTGGCACATGCCTGTAGTTCTACCCGCTTGGGAGGCTGAGGCAGGAGGGTTGCTTGAGCCCAGCAGTTTGAGGTTGTGGTGAGCTATGATAGAACCATTGCACTTCAGCCTGGGCAATAGAGTGAGACCCTGTCTCAACAAAAAGAAAAGGAAAAAAAGAATATTTGTTAAAACTAATACACTCATAACACTCCTTTGTCTTTTTTTTTTTCTTTCTCTTTTTGAGGCAGGATCTCGTTCTGTCACTTAGGCTGGAGTGCAGTGGCGCAATCATAGTTCGTTGCAACCTCAACCTCCCTAGGCTCAGGTGATCCTCCCACCTAGCCTCCCCAGTAGCTGGGATTACACGTGTGCTCTACCATGTCTGGCTACCTTTTTTTAAAAACTTTTTTTTAGAGATAGGGTCTCACTGTGTTGTCCAGGCTGGTCTCAAACTACTGGCCTCAAGCAGTCCTTCTGCCTCAGCCTCCCAAAGTGCTGAGAATACAGACATGAGCCACTGCACCTGGCCTCAAATATTCTTATTACTCGGGAGTAAAGCATCTAATACTTTATTTGACCTGAGGATTTAAAAATAGCTTTTATTTAAAGAATATGATGTGACTCATTAGGAGTTTGTTGGCTCATCAGATCTTAAGTTTTACTTTTTGAAATAGACAGGTTTGGTCATCTGCAAAGAAATGATTTCAGTCTTACATATTTACTTAGAAATCATGGAGATGTTGGATAATTTATTAGTCATAAAATAATTTGCCAAATTTTTAAATGGCTAACTTGTACATATATATCATTTAAAACATACACAATGCCTGAACGTTATGTTTGCAACTGGGTTATATTTAATTTTATTTTTAGTATCTTCTTTCACTTTTTCCAATCCTTTGATGAATTTAATCCATTTGCATTTAAATGAGATTTTCTTTGTATCACATAGAATGAAAGAAACTATGGGGTGGGGGTGGGTGGAGAAATAGTAGTGTCTTTCAAGTATACCGATTATAGTAGGCAAGATTTAAGCAAGCCAGAAATTCCAGATTCAGTCCAAAGATGGTAAAAAAACAAACAACAACAAAAAAAACCAAAAAATGATATTTAGGCATTCATTCATTCATTTGATTTATTGATCTAGTAAGTGACTAAAAAGGTGAAATACATTTGACTATATATTGTGCCTGGAATATGGTAGGTATTCAATAATTATTTATTGACTAACTAGATATCAATTTGATTAAATATGAGAAAGCAAAACATTAATGAACTCTCCACATTCTTCTGCGGATCAGGTTCTCAGGCAGAGTAAACACTGAAAGAAACAAAAAAAGTAGCAATTAAAGAGCCATGGGCTTAGTGGTCAGATGCACATTTATTAGTTATATGACCTTGAGCACATATCTTAGCCTCTCCAAACTCGTTTCCTCTTTTTTAAAAAGGAGAAAAGTGATAGTACCTATTTTATGAGGTGGTTGTGAAGATTAATTGAGATGATCTGTGTTATACATTGAACACATTTCTGGTATGCAGTGAACACTTAATGGCTGAGATCAATTATTATCAGTCTTTAACAATTTCTTGAGTAGCCTGAAGATTGTATGAACCTGACAAGCATTGCCTCTTCAAGGTTCACAATAGTCCCTTAAAACCATGATCCTCTAAAGCTGATTTTGTAGTCTTGATTATGGCAGTGGAAGTCAACATGTTAATTTTATGGATGATGTATTCTTTATTTATTTAAATCTGGCATTGATGTTTATAGTTTTGTTGCTTTCATGCAGTTACTTCTCCATCATATAAAAAATTAGCTTAATTCTCTACATACATACATTATTTGTGATAATATGTTCAAAGAAGTTAGCATGAACTTTCCCTCAAACTATCCCCATTGCAGAAAGATAATCAGCACATAATTAGAGAGGAGTGAATTTCCTTACCAATGTTTGTAGTGGATGTGAAAGTTAACCAAGACCAGGAGCTACAACATGTCTAGGAGGAATTCATGGTAAAGTAAAAAGAGGCAGCCTGGTTAGCTCCCACATTTGGACTCAAGGATCTCAGAAGAGTGAAGCACCTGAAGGTTTCTGGGAGTTTCTGTGGGAGCTGCAGAATCTTTGCTTCTGTTTCTGATTGAAAATGTATCAGAATCCTCAGAAAAGGAGGTGTTATTCTCTGATGTGCTCAGCCTGGTTGACAGCTGAGTGATCACTGGAGGAGCTGGGCCATGAAACCTCCTGCATGCTCATCTCCTTGGGGAAGGAGAGACAGGACAATTGGTTTTTTCTATTTCTGTTCTTAACCCCAGCAGGATGCACAATTAACAAACACCGACAGCCACAGAGCACACCTCTGAGACAACATCTTTCATTATAGTCCCGGAATGCTTGGATTTCATGAATCCCAGCACTGCCCTTGTTCCCCATGCTTCAGATGGTTCAAGTGAACCTGTCAGGAAGCAGAACCAGTGTGACAATGAATAAGCTCCTGGCAGGAACCTCTGTAGCTCAGCCTCTCCCTGATGTAATCTGGGTTACTTGTGTTGCAGCAGAACTGGGAAGAAAGGACCCTGAAAAGTTAGCTGGTTCCAAGTGACCCTCCAAGGTATGGAGATGCTTTGGGGAGCTGGTGAGGGAGGCACAGAGCAGACTGGGGAGTCAACGGAGGGGCCAAGGTGTCCCGGTGGGGCTTATTAGAACCTGCCTGAAGGGAGGGTCTCCTAAGACACAAACCACCACTGTAGATCGTGTATTAGAATTATTCTCTAATCTTTATTCTGAAAGGGGAAGAGTGCTGGATTCAGAGCCCACCTCAGGGGAAGACAGGACCCTCTCCAAGATGGTTTCCCTAGAAGCTACTACCTCTCCCTGGAGGGTGGAGATATTTGCTGGTCAAAGGTATTTTCATGTTTATTTCTACTTCTTTCTTCTACTGGACATAGGAGGATTATGAATTTTATATTAAGCAATTATGCAATTTACAAACTAATGAGTTTATTACAATGTGGTCTTTGACCTGCTGGGGTTATGGTATAAACCCAAGGAAAATCTTGCCCAGGTAATCAGGGTGTGAGAACACGCTCACCTGTGTTCCAGCTGTATATGTCCACAGTGAATTGCTTTGGGGACACACAAAAATGCTCCTGATCATATGAAAAGTCTAGTGCCTAGTAGGCCATCCATAAACATTAGAATCTTTTCTTTATTTTTCTTTCCACACCCCGGTGAAGTGCAACAGATATAAATGACAAGCCTGTGAAAACAACAATTTTAGAACTTTTTCCCATATTCCTCATCATATGAACATCAGTTAGAAAAAGTCATTTTAAGGTAGAAAACAGAAAATGTGAGCTAAAACAAGTTAAATATAAGGTTTTTATGATGCCAAACAAACTAATTTAGGAAATGCATCGCCTCAAATTACATGATTTATCACATATCAAGTTGAAGAAGCTTAAGCTTCTAAAAATGGTCAGAGTAAACACATACAAAACGTAAAAGTATACGAAGGAAAATAACACAGACAGAACAGTCCGATCTTAGTAGAAATGGATATGCTTACAGATGTTTGCATGATACGCCAGTATGCAGAAATCAGGAAACTGCCTTTTGGGAGCAAGTAGTCAGCTGAAAGTTCTGTGAATAATGGCTTTAGAGAATTCATTTCTATATAACCAACACCTTAGGAACATTGGTTATAAACACACATTTGAGGGTATAAAAATTAAAAAGATAGAAAATAATTAGTAAGTAAGTATAACATTTGGGAATGTCACACAAACAAAAACTTAGCAAAAACCCTTTAGGAACATGAATATCAATAGCTATAACTCAAAATTGTCAATATTCTGTTAAAATTAAATTGAAATAACTTCTGTTGAAGACAGTAAAAATGACACAAAAGTATATGAAAGAACTCAGCACATAAACGACACAGCCAATATTAATTGAAATGAGAAATATTTACATGATCTTCCAGCATTGGGCATTTGATTTCATTGAACATTTATAACTTCTATGCTTAAAGTACTTTTAGAATTTGACCACAGAGTTCATTTGAGAGTAATACAGACAAAAGCTAACATAAGATGGGTGGGTTTAGCCACCTTACAGAGTAAATTATCCTAAGAGATGTTTTATAAAAGAGCAGCTAATAATGTTCGGAGAAACAGCCAAGACATAGGTAAATATATCTTCAGGATGGCATGACAGAAGTGGAATGAGAAGAGAGTGAAAATGCTAATGTTCTCAATTATATTTCATGAATAATTATGAGTTAAAAGGGCAGAAGTTCATCTGAAATCCTTTGAAACAGAGAACAAAAGAGAAATAATTGTAAGGACTTACTTTTAGGGTTTGTTTCAGCTGCTAGTGTTACCTTAACTAAGACAAATTCCTTAAAAGATGTGGGGTCTTCTTCCCTTGCACAATTGTCTCTGGACTTAACTGCCAGTGTGGGATTGCATTTCCCAGCCCTCTTATATTTAGGTGGGGTCATGTTCTTACAAAAGGTATACAAGCAGAAGAGACTTGTGCAGCTTCCAGGGCTGCAGTGGAAGGAGGGCATGCATGGAGGAGGAGGGCATGCCTCCTCCATGTTTGGCCTTCCCATCACTGGCTGGAAGTGAAGGCCTACAGGGCTCTAGGATGGCGGGACCATGCGATGGAAGGTGCCTGGGTCCCTGCATCACCAGTGGAAGGCTGTCTGTCATCCCTGCCTAGGACTTTACATGAGCAAGATGTAAAGTTTTATTTTGTTAAATCACTGTGATTTGGGAGTTTACCTGTTGCTGTTTATCCTACCTAATACATTATTTAACATTACTATGGCGATGAGAGGAATGAGGAAGGGCTAGTAACTCTAAAGCTAAGGTATTAGGAGCTCTCGAGATCAATTCATATTCTAAAAAGCATCAACATATGGCATGAAATACTGACTTTTTGCTTATGTCATGCAGTTATCTTAGAGTCTGAGGAGTCATGGTTTATTTTGTGTGCTATTTGGTTTCTCATGCAAACTATTTTAATTAATAATATAGGTTAACTTACTTAAACATAGCCCAATATTGAATAATAATGTAAGTGATACAAAATGATATTTTTGAGGAAACACTTTGATACAATTTAGCACAATCCAACAAGATTCTAAACTGCTTTTAATAATTGCTTAATTTTGGCTTTTACTAAAATATATGAGAAATGTGTACTGTTTTGAGAACTTAAGGGGCCAGACGTTTTTTGAGAAAAGGCTTTTTAGAAATTCTAACATTAATACGTGTTTCCTGTAATATTATTGAAAAACATAGAAGGGTTTATTTCTCCTAGTTCATTCCTCTGCCTAAAGCAACTTCTGTTGACTACTTAATGTACATCATTCCAGATCACGAAATTAAATACAGATGTATGTAAACACACATGTGCATACATGTGTACTCACATACACATATACAGGTGTACGAATTTATGTATAGCTAGGAGATTTCCCTGCACAAATGACAAAGTCTTATAAAAATGTTACTTGCTTTTTTCATTTAGCTATATTTGATGAGCTATTTTCATTGCAGCTCATTTTAGATAATACTTGTTCTATTTAATAGCTGTGTAACATTTTTCATAATTTAGTAATTTCAAAATTAACACTTGATCTTTTGAATTTTTGAAATCAATTTAATACCAAATCCATGTACACATTTCTTTGTGCAGTTACATATGTAAGTATTTCTGTAGAATGGATTCTTAGAATTAGTATGCGTGTTTTAAATGTTGGGTAAATAATTTCAGTTTTTTAAATCCAAAATGTGTGCCAATTTATACCTCCACCAACAATGTGTGAGTGTCATCAACATCACATGTAACACCATTTTCCCCTCACAATCTATTGAGTAAAAAAATCTCATTTTATAGTAGATTTCCTGATTGAGATAGATGACATTGTCATATTTATTGGTATGTTGTGTTTATTCTGTTGTCTGTATCTACATATTTTTGTCCATTTTTCTCATGGATTTGTGTATTACCCTTTTGGTTTTTTCACCTATGTTAAAATATATTAGCTGCATTACTATCCTCTTTCTTAGGATGAAATTTCAGGCCAGTCAAAAATTCAGGCTCATTTTTCTCAAGCTTTTAATCATGGGTAGAAAAGACTCCATATGTCCAGGCTGGAGGAGATTGGTATAACTTAGTATAATAGTTACAGACATAGTCTCTGGCCTTTGGAACACCTAAAGAAAAGTCCTCCTGTGCCACCTACTAGCTGTCTGAGGTGTACTTAACATCTCTGTGCCTTGATTTTTTTCATGTATAAATTGTATATAATAGTAATACTTCCCTCTGGCAATTGTTATGAAGATTAGATTAGACATAAATGCATATGTGTAAAACATTGTTTGATATGAAACAAGTACTCAATAAATGCCAGGAATTAATATTATTATGTCACTTGTGCAATGCCAGCACAAATGTACAGATCTGGGAAACTCTGTGAATAAAAGTTATTCTTAATCTTTTTCAAATAGGGTAATGAAACTGTTTTTACTTCCTTAGAGAGGACAGTTAATGTGAAACTTCTTTTGCCTTATTCTGCAAGTCTTATGCCATTCATAGTTCATACAGCATAAATATATTGAAATCAATAATTAATTTTGTGGTTACTCTTGAATTCCTACTATTTGTGAGGCTCAGGAGTTCGAGAATAATTCTCAAAAATTATTCTCAAAAATTCCATTTAATTTTGTCTCCTATGTAAAAGAAAAACAACATACATTCTAGGAAGTTAATAAAAAGGCATAGAATTTGAGAACTAAAAGGAACTTAACAATCATCTAGTCCGACATTTCATTTTATATGTGGGGAAACCAATGTGCAGAGGAATTAAGTGACTTCTCTAAGGTCATGCAGTGAGTAGGTGGTAAATTGGGAGAGGAACCCATAATTTTGTGAAATATATATTTGGTCTTTGTCCCCATTTCTTGGCGTACAGTTTCTAAAACTCTAGGAATCCCCAGAGTGATAAGAGTATCTTTTGTATGTTCTGTGGTTTGAATGTGTCCCCCAAAGTTCATGAGTTGGAAACTTAATCTCCAATGTAACAGTGTTGAAAGGTGGGACCTCTAAGAGGTGATTAGGTCATGAAAACTCTGACTTAATGCATGGATTAATGGTGTTGTCTCAGGAGTGGATTTGTTATGTGGAGATTGGGTTAGTTACAAAAGCAAGTTTGTCCCTCTCTCATCCTCTCACCTTTCACCATGCAGCAAGAAGGCCCTCTGCAGATGCTGACACCTTGATATTGGACTTCCCAGATTCCAGAACTCTGAGAAATAAATTTCTATTTTAAATAAATTACCCAGTCTGTGATATTCTGTTATAGCAACACAAAATGGACTTAGACGGTATGCTAATGAGATGACTGCTGGCAGGGAGCTCTGAAATAACTTTAGGATAGGGGCTGGTTACTACAAAAACAAAGGCATGTTTAGTGGGTTGGGACTTTCAGCCTATACCTCAACCTCTGGGGAGGGGAGAGGGCCTGAAGTTTGAGTTGATCACTAATGGCCAATGATGTAATCAATCATGCCTGTGTAATGAAGGCTTTACAGAAAACCAAACAGGGTTTGCAGAC